>NC_000010.11:86052186-86203701 GCF_000001405.40 Homo sapiens | reverse complement strand
TGTCCAGGGTGCTAGCCCTTCTGGCTCTCGGCTTGCTGGAGGCCAGAGAACTCTTTTATTGGATTCTGTGCAGGACCTCCTGCCTTTGCCTGCCCTGGTCATCGGCCTCCTGATATGACAAGCATTGAGGCTTGGTTTCTGCCTCTACACATTTTCTGTAAAATTTTAACCCGGTGCCCAGTGCTCGTCCTGGCTTTCCCCTCATGCCCAGCCCAGCTGCTGCCCATTTCCAACATGCTTGTGTCAAGTGAGCCAAGGCAGCTCAGCCTATCTGCTGTTTGATGCAGCACATCCAGCCCTCGGAGTGCAAGTGTGGCTGCTCCCTCGGCATGGCTGGCTGTGGCCTGTCCCAGTGTCACTCCTAGGTGGATACACATTGCTAATACAGCCAAGACAAACGGTGCCTCTGGAACACCTCAGGGCCCCTCCTCCCACTGACTCACTGTAGCACTAGCTGCAGATGAGCACAATTCAAAAGCAAATTAAGTGTAAAGACTATTCTGTTCTTTCCAAAGTCAAACAGAAGTGGTTTGGAAATATAGCAACTTTTTTTCAATGCTGATCTGCAAGTACCTTTATGTATTTTACTTCATTCTAGCCACCCAACATCCCTCTGAGGTCAGATTATTGCTACATTTTACAGATGAGGAAAATGAGGCTCAGAAAGGTTCTTCCTGACTTTAGTACCCATGCATTTAGCCAAGGCATCATCCTATTTCTGTAATTTGGACTTACTAGGCTCTAGCTTCCTGCTCCTGTCCCCAGCCAGTCAGAGTTGATGCCAAGAAAGAGGGAGGTAGTTTGGAAGGACATGGCATGCTCTAGGCTGATGCAGTCACTTTAGTGAGCATCATACATAGGCTCCCTCCTTTGTGGGGCAAGGCCTGATTCTTCCTCATTTGCCCATCAGCCTCCCTTTAAACCCTGGAATGTCCTGCCCCAGGTAGAGCCTGAGGACTGGGCATTTGAGCCAGGAGTTAGAAATCAGAGCAGGAAAAGCCATGGGCTCCAAGACAGAATTTGGCAGAAGGGTGAGAGAGGAGTTGGTATGTATATGGTTTACAAGATGTGCTATTTGGTAAAATTCCACTGAAAATACTTGTATGCTTGTTATGACAGTGAAAGGAAAAATAAAAGAGAAGACGACATTTGAGAGAGAAAATTTGCAACATTAAAATACCAAAAGTTTGGATCGAAAAGAATGGAGAACTTTCTGACTTGCCACTTCAAATGCTGGGATATTCATGTGTGTATGCATTGGCAGGGGCCGAGGTGGGAGGGGGGTGCTAGTAGCTGTATCCACAATTTCCCTCTAGTGAATAAATTTGGATGAAGGTTGTAATTATGATGAGCTCTTAGATATCATTGACTCCTTCATTCAAAAAATATTCACGGAATCCCTACCGCATGCCAGGTATTTTGCTAGGCACTCATTTTCAGTGAAGACACAGATGGGTGGAGTAACTTGGCTAATGTTGCATGGGCTGGCATTGGAAGTTAGGCCCCAGGGGCCCAGGGGCATCTCCAGGGCACGGCAGTCCTTTCTTGGTCTCTGGGCTAGCTCGCAGACCTGGGATGGGTTGGGAGCTGGGATTCCACAGAAACAAAACATCAGGGCTCTGTTTGAGTGGCCACTGTCTATTTGTGCTAGTTTAAAAATTATTTTTTAATTGAAAGCTACACATGGTTACGATGTATATGTTTAATTAAAAGATTAATAACCTGAAGACTCATGAACCCACAATCAGTTTGAAAAATATCAAGGAGCCCTTGTGTGCTTCACCTGACCATGTCTCCCCTACAGAGGGACTTAAACACTCTCCCGATTGTGTGCTAACAAGACCCTCGCTTTCCTTGATAGTTTTTTTTTCTTTTTATGTGTCTGAAGTTTTGCCAAGTTGTATCTAAGCATGGAAATTTTAAATTTATGCCTCATATATTTAAAACACTGTACATGTATTTCACTGTTTTAGAGGATCCCAAGCCAGTGTCTTTTTTTTTTTTTTAACTTTTATTTTAGGCTTAGTGGTACAAGTGCAAGTTTGTTACATAGGTAAACTCATGTCATGGGAGTTTGTTGTATACATTATTTCATCACCAAGACAGTAAGCCTAGTACCCATTCGTTGTTTTTCTTGATCCTCTCTCTCCTCCTACCCTCCACTCTCCACCCTCCCATAGGCCCCAGTGTGTGTTGTTGCCCTCTGTGTGTCCATGGGTTCTCATCATTTAGTTCCCACTTATAAGTGAGAACATGCTATATTTGGTTTTCTGTTCCTGTGTTAGTTGGCTCAGGATAGTGGCTTGCAGCTCCATTCCTTGATAGTTTTATCATACAAGTATGGGACCCATGGTTGGTTTGCGACTCATATATGTGGAATAACACTTCTGCATGCTTCTGAGATTGTTTTTTAATTTTCACTCAGCATTAGGTTTTTGAGATTGATCCGTTTGATGCAGGTGGATGTATTAATCATTTTTATTGCTGCACTGTGTGCCCTGATTTATTTATCTACTTTATTGTCTGTGGGCATTTGTGTTGTTTCCAGGATTTTGTTATTACCAAAAATACTGATAGGAACATTCTCATATTTGTCTTTTGGTGTTTGTGTGCAAGAGCTTTTCAGGGTCTATTCTGAGGAGCAGAATTGCTGGACTCTTGGGTCAGTGCACATTTCACTTTATTAGGTTAGACCAAACTGTTTTCCAAAGCATTCCTACCTATTCACACTACCATGTGCAATATATGAGATTTCCCCAAGTCCCCTAACCTCACCAACACTTGTCTTCTTGTTACTTTTAGGTTTCTAGTGTAAAATGTAATTTTATTTTGATTTTAATGTACATTTTCTTGATGATAGATGAGGTTGGGTATCTTTTCACATCTTTATGGGCTATTTTTATTTTCTTTTTTGTGAAACACCTGTTTGTAGTTGATTTTTTTGCCTGTTTTTAAAATCGAGCCTTTTCTTTTTAAGTGTGGCAATATCTTCTTTAAGTTAATTGTTTGTCTTAGTGAACAGAAATTCTTTATTGTATTGTTGTCAAATGTAGTCATCTTTTTTTATGGCTAGCTCTTTTGCTTGTCTTGTTTAAGAAGTCCTTTCCTACCTGAATGTCAGAAAGAAATTTTCCTGCTGAAACCTCCCTCTCTATATGGAGGGCAGATATTGTCCACCTGGCTAGGTGTCCACAGCTATGGCCTGGCCAGGCTGTGCCTGCCCTCCCCTGCCCCTCTGCGAGCCTAGCAAGCCTACCTCTCTCAGCATCTGTGGGCTGATATTCCTTCCACCCTGACACTGCTCCACTTTGCCATGCCTTTGGGCCAGTCTTTTCCTTGGTGGCAACTGAAGAAAGCTCATGCAAATTCAGTGCAGCCTATGGCAAGGTGGTTAGGAAGAGCTTCCTGGAGGAGGTGACATTTAAGCAGGTGCTTAAATAAGAGTAGTTTTTACTTTTTATTAGGCAAGCAAAGGGCACTGGGGGCTGGAGGTGACATTTAAACAGGTGCTTAAATAGGAGTAGTTTTTATTTTTTGTTAGGCAAGCAAAGGGCACTGAGGGCTGTAGGAAGAGTGTTCTAAGCAGAGGGAAGAACTTGCTTCCCTCTTTCCAGAGGAAAGGTCTGGGGGCAATGGAGAGGAGGAAAGATCATATGGCTGGAATATGGGAATTGGCTAGGGATAAGACTGGAGAGACAGTCGGAGGAGGCCTTAGATGCTCAGGATCCCCAGAAATCTCTGGGAGCCATATCTTGCTACCTCGGGTGGCACTCTTGGGTCCTGTTCTTTATACCCCATCCAGAGATTTGAAGACAGACAAAGGCAAAGCCTTCATCTCTAGAAGGCTCTGGTCCTTTCACTGCGTCCTGTCTGAAGTCATTCTCTGCAAACAAAAGGGCAGAAACTGACACATTCTCAGGAATGATGATCCGAGTTAGGACAAACCACAGTCCCAGAGTCTAAGCTAGAGGTAGGACCCGAATTTCCCAGATGACCCAGGCGTCATGCCAGCGGGTAACAGCTCCAAGTCCCTCTAGCCCTTGCTTCATGCTGGGTGCCCTGAAAGAGCGTGGAGCTGCCCTTGCTCACATCATCCCAATGGCAACCCCACATGGTGGGTTCTGTACTCAGAGAAGTAAAGGGATTTGCTCTAGGCCATATGGCTGGAGAGTTGGGGGCTGGCCAGCTCTGGTTCCCAAAGGGTCCACAGCTCTGTTCACAGCCTCTTGGCAAAGCTGTGGGGAGCAAACACCGTGGTAGAGTCTTTGCTTGATGTACAAAGATTTATTGTGGCATTTTTGATGACATCAGAAATTAGCAACAACCTAAAGGTCCATCTTCAGCAAATTGGTTAAATATATTATGATATTTACATGTAATGGAAAACTCTAGTTCCTTATGTACTGAGTAGAAGTAGTTCCAAAACATGGTGCTGTTAGCTGACAATAGAGAAGTGAGAATGGTGACGTGGGTGTTGCTTTGTGTACAAGTGAGCTTCTATGTGTGTGTATCTGAGTGGACACACATGGTCACTCCAAGGAAATGCTGTTTAAGGAAAGGAAACACAGTGGGTTGGACTGGGATGGGAGATGAATTTTTCACTGCATAACTTCTTGTACTTTTTGAGTTTTGCATCAAGTGCAAAAAATAAATGAGTAAATAAAAAAGTAAGCATGGATCGCCATTCCTCTCTGCCTCCTGCTTCCTGTGCAAGGTGACTTCTCTGAGCTTCAGCCTCTTCATCTATAGGGTAATTTCTGAGCTGTAAGGGCAAAACACTAGTAGAGTGCCTGGCACATGGTAAGTGGTCTATATGATCACAACAAACCATGCATGGGGACCAAGAGTGGTAGGAACCAACATTCTTCCCTCATGGCAGTGCGTGTGGGCACTAGGCAACCTTGGTAGAATCTTGGTGCAAGAGATTTGGCAGTTTGCTCCTCCAGTCAGGCTCAGGATAACCTTTGCGTTTAATAGTTAGGGGCATGGGCTCCAGAGCAGTCTTCTTGTTGAATCCCAGCTCCGCTGCCATATCTGTGTGACATTGGGCAAGTTACTCAACCTCTCTGTGCAACAGTTTTTTCATTTGTAAAATTGCGATACAATACTACTTTCTGCCTGATGGGGTTAACGTGTGGATTAAATGAGTCAATAGATGTCAGGGGCTTAGCTCAGTACCTGGCGCGTGGTAACTGCTCAGTAACACTTACTACTCTGGAGCTGTGCCCAGCAGTGGTCCCATTGCTGTCCATTCTTCCTTGGCTTCCCAAGGCAGACCTGGTGAATCCCAGTCCTGGCTTGTTCAGCAGCCCAGAACACAGCTGTATTTTGGTTGTGTTCTTGGTGCTTGGGGAAACAGAGAGAGCTTGGGGGTCAGCTCTTTCACCTGCAGGTTACACACCTTGCCCTATGGAGGAGCTGAGCTGCCAAGGCTTCCCCAAGGTCTCCTTGCACAGTCACAGGTGGCTCCGAAGAGCCATCATGCCTTCTAAGCTGGACAGCTTAACTGGTTTTCATAGAAAATATCTGTCGGGATCTCACCCCCAGAGTCTTCCTGAAGTAAAATTCCGTGGAAGAAAGGGAATTATCGGGGCAAATGTTACTTTAATCAATGCCCCTTGCTGACGTCTCCTTTGCGGCCCCTGGCAAAGCAGGCCAGATGACTGAACTGCCATGCTGATCTCATTAATAATACACATTGGATCATTATGGCATTAGTTTAAATTGAAGTAATACATACTTTTTCCAGACAAAATGAGTAAGTGAGTTTAATTGCTAGGAAACCTATGGAAGAAGTTTGACAATAACTTTACCTGGATGAGTGTTTTGGGTTTTGTTCTTCGATCTAATTACAAAGTAACTGTACTTTGGGGTGTGTTAATTGCAGTGTGCCCTAGAAGATTAAAGTTTATTAACTCTGAAGTTCCCTCACCCCTCCATCAGATTCCAGAGTGCGTCTGGAGACATGAGGAGATGCCTGATGCAGGCCTGCATAAAGGACTGGAAAGTGAGGCTATGCCGACTCCCACACATGCCCCGGTGTGCTGCTGGGTCCTGCTGGAGTTGAGGGAGCAAGAACTTGTCCAGATCGTCCCCCGTTTCCTCTTCTCACCACACACCATTGTGCCCTTGCAGGACCGATGCGGGCTCCTGTTGATATCCCCCTCCTGCCAGACCCACACTCCCCAGACCTCCTTTGCTCCACACATGAGAGGGAACAAGGGAGATGTTGTGTTGTTAAATACTAGAATTCCAGGAAGGGTACCAGCGAGATGTGGCTGCAGACTTCTGGAAGGACCACTAGTCCAGATGGGACCTCCCCTCCTCCTGCTCCCTGTCTGCTGCCTTCCAGCTCCGGCTCCTTGCTGCTCCATGAGCGTGCCCGGCACAACCTGCTGCAGAGGCTTTGGGCTGGCTGTTTCCTCTGCCTGGGACACTCTTCCTGCACGTGCAGACGTCTGCAAGCTGCACCTTCGGGGCTTTGCTTCAATTCCATCTGTCCCGTGGGGCCTTCCCTTTCCAATTTATTTAAAAATGGAACTCTATTTTCTCTTGGCACCTCTTTCTCCCTTTTTCCATTGAATTTATTCCCATTTACTCATCTTTTGATGTCTGTCTTTCCCCAACTAGTTCCATGCAGACAGGCAGTTTTGTTTGCTTGGTTGAGTGATACTGGACCCACAGCATTTAGAACAGCACCTAAAGCTTAGTAGGTGCTCATTAAATATTTGATGAGTGAATGAGTGAATTGATATTTTGGGGGTGTTTCATTGCCCATTTATTGGCCCAGAAGCATTTGTTTCTTTCCTTGAGTTTACCAATTACAGCAGTAATATATGCTTCCTATGGAGTCCAAGTATGTGCAAAGGCAAAGCCCCTCCCTCCTCCACTTTCAGTAGAGCACTGGCTTGTTCAGCCTGCTGTGTTTCTGTCTATACCTTCCTCCTTGTCAAGTGTGTAGACTGCCTGTGTATGCCAGGGGTCAGGACTGGAATGTAGTTTAGATGTGGCCAGCCCCTGAGAAAGTTCTTCCCATAGCTTCAAGTCAAGAATGACTACAAAACACATATGAATCACAGTGAGATGGCAATGGTGCTGCTGAGGTCTGGTGGGTGAGCCTGGCTTGTGTTGGAAGACTTAGTTCTCTTCCTGGCTTTATCTTTTTCTAACGTGCTTCTGGGCACACTGGCAACTCTTTCTGATCCTTTGTTTTCCCACTTTAGTAGTGGGGATAATAAAAACGCCTACCGTGGAGGGTTCCTGTGAGGCTGAAATGAAATGAAATGAAGTGATGGATTTGAGAGTGATTGCACTCCCTGAGGTCCCAGACCATTTCTCGTTTTTCTTACTCCTCCGCAGTACCCAGGACAATGCTGGGTACAAGGCCTGTGATTGAGCCAAGCGCTGAACAAACTGTGCTAGGAGCCCTGAAGCCTAGAGCCCCAACTCTGTCCCGGGAAGCAGTGGGTTTTGAATTACAGCTGGGAGCAAGAGGGCTTCTGCAGATGGAGGAAACCTGTGACTAAAATGCCAGGGTGTGAATGGCATGGCATATTTGAGAGGGAGGAGGGATGGAGGGTCAGCAGCTTATGGGAAAGGATGAAGGGGTCCATGGAAGGGAAGCTGTGCTAGCGGTCTCAGAGGCCAGGTTGTCGTGTCTGTCATAGGGTTTTCCTCTTCTGATGTGAGGCATGTGCTGTGACGTCGAGGCTTGTCCTCTGTGTGAACTTTCTCCTGTGTAGTAAGGATGCTCAAGAACGGAAGCCCGTTCTCTCTGGTTGCATTGCTCTGGAATGTTAAAAGGATGAAATTGCCTGTATCTTGTGTGACTAGTTCTGGACTGCAGGAAGCCTGGTGGTTTTGATCCAGGTGGCAGCTGCCTGCCCCGTATTTTCTGTGGAAGGCTCTGGGAGTGGTGACAAGGCCACTTAGAACCAAAAGGTGGGGGTCACGCCCAGACACAGCCATGTGGGTAACATTATGTCTCCTCTCAGCCCTTCACGTACCCAGTTCCTTGCTGGAAGTTATCCTCTTACCCACCTGATGGCGTGGTCGCCGCGGGGGCTTGTTTGCTGCCAACCCCCAGCCAGGGTAGGAGGCTGCACATGAACCTGGCACGCTGCCTCTGATTTTTGGTTTGATTGTTTCAGGTTGCATTGTCTGCCTGTTTGCTTATTTGTTTATTTCCTTCACACATCCAGAGAGAATTTGCAGAGGCTTCTAATGTCTTCTTAGAGAGACACTGAGGTTAAGAAAGCAACTGCATTAGAAAATCAAGAGGTGCCAAGGACGGCTGTGGTCATGCTATTCTGGCAGCCACAGGTTACAGGGTGGGAGGAAGCAGAGGGACCAGGCCCCCCTCAGCACTGCAAAGAATCCTCCCTGAGGGACCTGATCTCTACAGGAGACCATGAAGGACAGAATGGATGGCAATTCCAGCTCAACCTTTACAGCAAATGTAGAAGTGGGTTTTGCTTGGCTGTTTCTCAGTCAAGCACAGTCGCTGACTGTGCAGTGTGGCCCTCTCATGGCTCAGCTGATCCCAAGCTGGAACTTACCATTCCTGGAAGGGTAGGGATAGGACTTGCCTCTGCCTAAGCTTCCTCTGGGCCAGACTTGAAGCGGGTCATAGCAAGGGTTGTGCGTTCTGGCACTCCTTGCTGCCCACGGAGTGAGGCTTCATGTGTCCATTCAGTTTAGTTCTGTTGGACAAATGTCCACCAAAGGCCTTTGCAGTCCCAGGTGCTGGGTGGGGCTCAGGAGGAGAGCAAGGCAGGCATGGTCCCTGCCCTGACAGGAACTGCTGTAAGTGGGACAAGGGGTGTGAGGGGGGCTGTGCAGTGCTCACCATAGAGCCGTAGCAGAGCTGGGGGAGGCCTTCATAAGCATTGGTGGCCGAGTGCAGTCCTGTTGGGGTGAGGAGGGCTGAGCAGAGACCAGCCCAATGTGAGGGGTTCCAGCAGGGCAGAGGGGCTGCCTTGTGTTCTAAGGGGAGTGGGAAGATGTGGAAGGGGAGACCACCCTGCTTTGGGATTTTTGCTTTGAAATTATTTGTATCATATACATAAGTCATACACAAAATGAATATACTCTTGTTGAAAAAATTAAAACAACATACACATTTAAAACACAAAGCAAGCACCCATTAGGCACGTGTTCTCCCTCTCCCACCTATCTGCCTTCCTCTCTTGAGGTGAGTAAAGGCCTTGCCTGGACATGCCACATGTGCACACAGATACAGTGCTTTGCAGACGCAGAAGGGGAACCATGCCCCGGGCATTGTTTGGTGACATGCTTTTACTTGATGGGCTTTGCAGCTTTTGCTCCATATTGCCCACTTGGTTCTACCCCATTCTTTTTGCCTGTTGCACAACATTCTGCAGAGTGGGCTTTATTCCTCCATGTCTTGATTCAGGTGGCTTCTAGTTCTTGGCCGTCACACAGGGCTGTAGTGCGCAGCCGTGGATACATCCTCATGCATGTATCTCTAAGTACTTCTAGGGGTTGGATTGCTAGAAAGCAGAGCGGCTGGGCTGCAGGAGATTCTGTTTTCAAATTAGGAAGCTAGAATACAGTGATGAGATGCCAGTTACCAAAATAAGGCAGAGAAAGGAGAAGTGTTCTGGAGGAGAACAGACCTTGTTCTGGCCCCTGTTGTTTCCATTCTTGGGTGCCATCTTGCTGAGAAGTGTGATTGGGCAGAAAGTCAGGGACAAAATCCAAAATCAGAGAACCAGATAAAATGCAGCAAGGGCCCACTTAGGTCGGCAGCAGCTCTTGTGAGAAGCGATTTGAGGATTGAATTATCTGCAGCTTGGTGGGAGTGAGCGGTAGTGGGAGTGAGCAGTGGAAGGGAGGGAGGGAGGTGGTGAGGGCTGGGTGGTCCCTTTGGTGTATCCTGCACTGAGGGACATGCCTCTCTGGTGGAATGGAGACAAGCTGGCAGGAATTCAGAAAGGAGGGATTCTGAGGTCTCTGACAGGCCTGGAGCTGGGGGATGGGCTGATGTGAGCTGAGGGGTCCCAGGAATGGGACTAATGAGGAAATGGTGCAGAGAATAGGGTGCAGTATGTCAAGGAACTTTCCAACTGTCAGAGTTGACCTGAGCTGGAAGGGGCTGCCTCTGTCCCCCAGGGACCCACCCTGGGTACTATGGCAGGAAGGTTCTTAGCTCTGGTGTGCCCACAAGCCCCTGGATGATTGGCCATCATGAGATAGAGGTTCTCCCTAGAGACCCTGGCATGGTTTCCTCAGGCCTAGAGGCCCACCAAAGGCCACGTGGTTGAGCTTTGCTAATGGATCATAAAGAGAATAACGTGCCTTGCGTTGCTTCTCCTAAAGGAAGGGAATCAAACATTCACTGTGTAGTTACTCTGTGCCAGGCACACAACCACAGTTCCTGTATTGGTCTTTATAGTAACTCAACAAGGTAGGCATCTGCCACCAGGTCACATAAGGAGCAGGCTGGGGGGACCCCAGCTGCAGGTGGCGATTCAGATCTCAAGCCCTCACTCTCCTGACTGCACCCCAACCACCCTGAGCTACAGGTGAGTGCGTTCTGGATACCATGCCCTGGGAATGAGGAGAGAGTGGAGGGTGCAGGTAGGGTGAGCTCCTGAGGCCCCAAGTTAGGAGATGCTGAGGCTGGATGGGGCTAAGGGAACTGGGAGGCATTTTTTCATTGCCTCACCTTCTCTTCTGTCTTCCTTGCTTCCCATCCTCCCGGGCTCTCCTGAGACACACGCTCTGGCCTCTCACACATTCTGTTTGCAGAGGGACCCACACACAGTGGAGCCTTAGGCCTGGGACTCAGGCTCTGGGAGGCTGCATCCTCACTGTGGGGCCTTTAAGGATTTTGTTGCTGGAGACCCCTGTGGTTCTGTGGAATCACCACATATATCGGTGTGAACATCACCTGTTGGCCCTGGTCCTGTGTGCTGGATTCTACCTGTGCTCTGGGAAGTTCCTACTTTACTTTTGTAGTTTTTTGTTTTATTGTGGAAAAATATATATACAACACAAAATTTACCATGTTAACCATTTTCACGCACAGTTCAATGGTGTTAAGTACAGTCATATTGCAGTCACTACCGTTCATCTCCAGAAGGTTCTCATCTTCCCAAACCGAAACTCTGTACTCATTCAACAAAGACCCCCATCTCCCCCCTCCCTTCAGCCCTCAGCACCCACTGTTCTCCTTCCTGTCTCTTGACTTTGACTATTCTAGGGGCCTCATATAAGTGGACTCGTACCGTATTTGTTCCTTGAGACTGGCTTATTTCACTTAGCATAGTGCTTTCTACTTTCCTCCACACTGTGGCATGCATCAGAACGTCCTTCCTTTTTCAGGCTGAGTAATATTCCATTGTGTGGATAGACAGAATTTTATTGACCTATTCATCCATCGATGGACACTTAAGGGTTGCTTCTACCTTTGGTCCACTTGGCTTTCTGAGGGTGTTGGGAGAGGAATGTCGTCTCTTGGAGCCTCCATGTGTGTGTGTGTGCGCAGGTGTCTGTGGGTGTGTGTTGCTGCAATGGGATTGTATGTGTTTGTGTGTGGTGGGCATTTTTGTGCCACACTGTTTGGAAGACATCCATTCATCCTTCATTCTGCCACCAAAGTCACCTTCCTTAACTCACTGCCCTGCTTAGACCCCTGAATGTCTCCCCCTCTCCTTAAGGATCAAGTTCAGATCCCTTCTCGCAGTGCACAGGGCCTCCAAGGTCTGTCTCTCCCTGGCCTTTCTCTCATCACTCCCTCAAGACCTCTGTGTCCCAGCGACGCAGGATGGATCAGCAGGGGTGCCATCAGGAACACATGGCCCACTCCAGGTCATTCAGAGGAGGGGATTTAACATGAGGAACTACTGACAAGTGCTGGCAGAGTTGAGGACAGGTGGAGTGGAAGCAGCCCAGACTAACAACTGGGCAGGGCTGGAGTGACTCCCAGGGCTCGAGGGATGAATGGGAGAGATGGTCCTGGAGCCATGACTGTCCAGTGGGTACTGGGACCTCATAGAGGGGCCACCCTGAGGGAACTGGGAGCATGTGGGAGACCCAACCATGGCCAGAGACACTGGAAGCAGAGAGAGGGTGAAATACCTGGCTTCCTCCTCCTCCTGTGCCTGAGTCTCCTGACCATGCTTCTCAGTGGTCAGTGGTAATCAGCAGGATAGGGAGTCTGGGAAGGGGAGGGGTGGGCACTCTAGAGGGAAGAACAGGGGAGGGTGGGGGATGGATGTGACTGCAATCTGCACTCCCCACCACACCCAGGGACTCACCTTCCTGAATGTGTCCCAGTCACACCCCACCATCCCACATGGCTCCCCGACCTGGACCAGCCACCTCACTGCCTGAAAGCTATTCCTCCATCCTCAAGACTTATTTGAGCGTCTCCTTGTTTTGGAAGTTTCCTCTCTTCTCCTTGTTCCCCTGCCAGGTGGGCTGTCCCTTCTCTGGGTTCCACAGATGCCCTCTGTGCATCTCACCCCAGGTTACTGGGCCATAATTACTGACTTCCTTTTCTCCCTCCCTCTGGACAGTAAGCTCCTCCAGGGTGAAAAGCCTGCTTTACCTGACTTTGAGTCTGTGGCATCAAATGCATGTAACAGGCCTGAGCAGATGCTTATTGTGCGATTCAGCAACTAGGTTAGAGGTGACAGAAATAAAAAGCCCAGAGATCTGGAGCTCTCTTTCTCACACACACAATATGTGCATGTGTGTTCACACAGGCACATGCATTTGAGCACACACAGATGCACATGTGCATGCAGGTACACACTCATGCATGCATGCACGTACACACTCATGCATGCATGCACGACTATGCACACATGTGCACATAGACACATGCATGTGAACACCCACACATCTGAAGTGCCTGTAGTCATTAAAGTTAGAGGTGCAGATGAATGTGGTCTGAGGCTAGCTATGAATCTTACTAACAGTCACCAAGAAAGATCAATACATTAACTCTTTTCTTCTAAGTTGGCATGAGGTTTCACTGGAGGGCCTCGGCAGCTCAAGGTGAAGTTCTTCCTGAGGCCTTCCTTCTAGCCTGGCTTGTGCAGGGAAGGGAGAGCCAGGTGAGCTCCAGGGGCCCTGCACACCTGCAGGATGGGGATGGGCATGTCAGGGGTGCCTTTGGTTCATCTGGGACCTAACCAGGTCTTGGCTACTGCCACTGCAGTCAGAGGACCTGGCTACAGAGCCAGGCTGTAGCCATGGGGCACTGCCCAGCCCCTCCCTGACACCAGCACAGCCAGGCTTCATGGGCCCCCACACCTGTTGTGGGGCCCAGGGGCAGCAAAGGGAGGAGGTATGTGGGGTGCACTGGAGCCTGTGCACAGGGGCTCGTGTGAGCCACTGGGCCACCTCTTCCCAACTCTGTGTTTGGTCACAGCACTTCAGTGACTAGAAATCAGTCCCGGTGGGAATATTTACTTCATGGAGGCCAGTAAGTGCCACATGTCAGAGCTTCTTATTCTGGAGGGCCGGTTAGGATCACACCATGTGTCCCACTCACATAGTGTTTGTGACCTGCTTGGGGGTGGGCGACTAGATGGTGACACAGAGGATATTCAAGGTAACGGTGTGTTTTGAAGGGAAGGCAGGAGCCTGGGGCCGAGTCACGGAAGGCATGCGGTGGACTTGCACTGGGTTTTGGAAGGCAGGGAGGGCTTGGGCAGAGGGAGACAGAGGTCCCAGGAGGTAACAGCCTGAGCACAGAGAAGCACGAGGGTCAGAGAGTGGGGTGTTAGCAAGGAGGGTTAGGTGAGTTTTCAGGCAAAAGAGAAGGGCCTGGAAAGCCATGTTAGGAGTTGACCTTTGTCCTTGCAGGGCAGGGGTTCTTAGTGGGCACAAGAGCCTCCTCCCACCTCTGGCCCCGGGGACATTTGGCAGCGTCTGGGGACATTTGTGTTTCTCTGTCATAACAGGGGATAGGGAGGAGTACTAGTGGCCTCAGTGGGTAGAGGCCAGGGATGCTGATAAACATCGCACAGCACCCGCTTAAGACAGCCCCTGACAGTAAAGAACTTTCTGGCCTCAAGTGTCAATAGTAGGTAACAGGGCATAGGTAATAGGGAGCTATTGCAGGTTCATGGTCAGGGATCTATAAAGTTGTGTTTTTAGTGCAGTTTGTGGAATAGAGTGGAAATGTGTGCATGTGATGTGTGTGTGTGTGCGTGTGTGTGTGTGTGTAGAGGGTAGGGATGCTGGGGAAAAGGAGACCACAGGCAGGGGAGTAATGAGGAGGCTGTGTCAGGACTTCTGGGATGGTGATGAGGGCTTACTGGGGGTGGTAGCAGTGAGACCACAGCATAGAAGACACATGGGGCCACTTTGTAGCAGGAAGTGACGGGAGTTGGAAGCCGACTAGTTAGGCCAGGTGGAGTGGGAAGGTTGACATCAGAAGTTCCCCAAAGGTCCCATCACTAGCCTAGGAGGCCAGGGGTTCCATCATACCAAAGAACACGAGAGAGTTGAAAGGAATGACAGTGAGTCTGGTTTGAGTCCTGGATTCCAGGGTCACATAATATCTGAGCTGCAGACATGACCCCCACTTTTAGAGAAGGGGAGTAGAGCTTTGAAAGTGCCAGCAGGTGCCTGTGGGTGTTGAGATGCAGGAAACCAGAGGGAAGTGGCTTTGGATGGTGGAAAATGGGTGTTTCACAAATCTGCCTGCTTCTTCACTGGTGTGGATCAGGAGAGCCCTGGGCCTGGCGGAGTGGGGCTTCAGCCACAGATCTCCCTGTGTCAGACACTTGGTTCCCGCTGTGGCTCCTTGTGGTTAGAATTCCAGAACTGGGCTCAACTTATGCTCTGCCACTTGTCTAGTTGGACCACTCTGACCTTCTTTGCATCTTCATCTATCAAGCAGAGATAACACTGGCACCATCCCCATAGCTTAGATAGTGGATTAAATGGGATTACTGATGTGCCTAGCACATTTGGGGTTCTGTTTTGGTTATTCTTTAATAGGGGATGTTGGCAGTGGTGGGTGATGGATGATGAGAAGAATAGATATGTGTCCTGTAGCCCCAGGGCAGCCCTGCCAACCTGCTCGGGCCCCGAGAGAGAGGGAGGTGCTGTAAATGCTTGTCCCCACCCCTCCCAGCCCTCTGGCATTCTTCCTGTATGCCTTGGGCACAGAGGCTTCTCTATTCCTCAGGGAGTGGGTCTTGGCAAAGGAACCTGTTTCTAGGCTTAGACAGCGGGCTGGCAGGGGGATGGGGTAGCTTGGCAGAATGGAAGGTATGGACAGGACAGGCCTAGCAAGGGCTGCTCTCCTGGTGGGCTGCAGCTCCCATTTTCCCTCTGGCCTGGTTTGTTGGGGAATGAGCTGGTCCCTGAAGGGAGCAGAGCCTGAGCCCTTGTTGGCATGGGGATGGCATCAGCATAGCTGAACGGGCATTCTAGCCATGCAGGGACTCAGCCTTGTGCTAGGGGAAAAGTGGGGTTTAGATCTATGCAGCTTTTCTGCTTATTTTCTAGGCACCTTTGAATTAACTTATCTTTCCATCTGTGCAATGAAGAACTAGTGCCCAACTTGCTGCAGTCCATGTAGGAGCCATACACGCTCACGCCTCTATTCACTTCACCATGTGTGTCACTCATCAGTACTAACTGAGGATCTGCGCTATAAGGGGCTGCAGAGGATGGACAGGGCAGGGCAGGGCAAAGGCCTGGAGTCCTCCTGGAGTCTTCACCCAGCCCTTCCATCACCCACCAATGGGCTTTTGGTGGGTCTCTTCCTTCAAGACTTATTTCCCTTCCATCAATTAGGACAGGGCTGGGGGTGGTCCCTGTGACTCTGACATCTCTAGTTGTGTGTCTTATGTAGCAACTGTGAAGTTAAAGCTCCTTAGGAGATGGGTGGTGGGAACTTCTCCTTGAATTATTCCTCCCATGTAGCTGCCTTATGGAAATGAGCCGATAATGGCCAATTCCATGTGCAAATCAGCTCTGGGCTCAGCTCAGCCTGAGCAGGCGTGATGCCTCTTGCACTATAAATACCTCCCCTGGAACTAGCGCAGCCCCAAGAGTAGCCCCAGTGCTTCTCAGCTTGCACAGATGCCAAGAACATTACCTGTTCTTCCTGGGGCTCCCCAGCCTCTGGCTGCTCCTGGGAATCTCACATTTCCTGGTCTCGTTCAGTGCTGGGTCCCTTAGGGATATTCGTTAATTCTCATAAAACCCTGGGAGGATAGTGTAATTAGCAGCACTGGATGATGATTTAGCACTCAGACTCTGGTGCAGACTGTCTGAGTTCAAATCCTGCCTCCAGCCTTTCTAGGTAGCATGAACTTGGGTGAGGTACTCAATGTCTCCATGTCTCAGGTTGCCTGTAGGCGTCTACATCATAGCCTTCTTGTAAGGTATAGAGAGCTGGCACCAGAATAACACTCAGTGCCTGTCTCATAGAAAGTGCTTATCAGATGCTTGATATTATTATCAACCCAATTTTACCAATGAGGAAATGGAGACTCAGGGAGGTGAAGTAATTTTTCTGAGGTCGCAGAGACAGCAAGTGGCAAAAGAGGTCTGAGCCCCGCCCCGCCCCCAATGACCATACTTTTCCTACCACAACCCACCTGGATCTCTGTCCTCTGGGGATGGTCAAATGATAAGGTAAAAGCTAAAAGGGATTTGGGGCTGCCTTTCCTTGGCTCTTCTCTGGGATGTCCACCAAGGCACTGAGTGTCATAGAAAACCTGGTTTCCCCAGCTTAAACCTCTAAAGCTAGTCCAGAGGAACAGTTGCTTCTGCCTGGGAGTTAGTCTCTCTACCTCAGTTTGCTTCTCTCTAAATGAATAGATCAGATCTGCTGGACTCTCTTGTGGCTGCATTGATCTCTGTGTTTTGTGGCTATGGTGTGCTTCTTATGTGCTCTGGGGTTGTCACCCAAGGAAGTGATGAAGTGGTTGCTTGTCATGGGGACAGGAAAGAAGAAGCATTTGAATAATCACTGCATGCCAGCATTGAGTTTAGTGTTTAAAAAAAACTGGCCCCATGGAGTTTTCGTAACACCTCTGTAAGTTAGGTACTTTTGGCCCCATTTTCCAGATGGGAAAACTGAGGTTCAGGCAGGCTATTGAACTTGATTAAGGTCACCCATCAAGAAAGACAAACACTGGTGGCTATGAAGCTTGAAGCCCCATTGTCCCTTAGAGAAGCAGAAAGTCCTCAAATTACTTGAGCTTCCACCTAGGAAGCTAGGAAAAAAGAGCAAATCAAATCCAATATAAGTAAAAGAAAGAATAAATGAAGATTAGAGTGGAAAATGATGAAGTGGAAATCAGAAAAACAGTAGAGAAAATAAATGAAACAAAAAGTGGTTTTTCATGAAGATAAAATTGATAAACCTCTGAACAGACTGACTGGGAAAACACAAGAGAGAAGACACAAATTACCAACTTCAGAAATGAGAAAGGTGACATCACTATAGATGTGAGAGGCATTAAACAATCATAAGGGAATGTTTTGAAAAACCTTATGCCAACACATTTGACAACTAAGCTGAAATAGACAAATTCCTTGAAAGACACAAATTACTAAAGCATACTCCAGAAGAAACAGAAAGCCTGAATGGTCATATACTGATTAAAGAAATTGAATTTCTAGTTTAAAAACCTCAGAGAAAGAAAACTCCAGACGCAGATAGCTTCACTGTTAATTCTGCCAAATATTTAAGAGAGAAATATTACCAATTTATGCCAATTTATCCAGAAAACTGAAGAGAATACTTCCAAACTTATACTATTAGATCAGTGTTATCCTGGTACTAAAACTGACCAAAACGTGACAAGCAAATTAAACTGATGTCCTTCATAAGAACTTCAACAAAAGATTAGTAACAATATATAAACAGAATACTTCATTGTGAGCAAGCAGGGCCTAGTCCAGTAATACAAGGCTGATTTAACATTCAAAAATCAAGTGACGTAATTCACCATTATTATAGACTTAAAAAGAAAACACGTATGATTATGTTGTAGCATTTGATGAAATCCAACATTCAGTTATGTTAAAACTCTCAGCAAACTGGGGATATAAGGTAACTTTCTTAACTTCATAAAGGGAATTTATAAACAATCCATGAGGAACATCATACTTAATAGTGAAAGACTATATGCTTGTCCCTTAAGATCAGGAGCAAGACAGGATATTTACTCTCACTGTATCTATTCAGTGCTGTAGCTGAGGTTTTAGCCAGAAAATTAGGCAAGAAAAAGAAACAAAGATGCCCAGATTGGAAAGAAAAAAATGAAAACTTTAAATTTACTGATTATATGATCATCCATGTGCAAAATTTAGTGGGATCTACAGAAAAATACTAGAATTAACAAGTGAGTTTAGCAACATTGCAGTCTAAAAAATATACAAAAATCCATTGTATCTACATACTAGCAATGAACAATTGAAATCAAAATAAAGAAGAATACTATTTACAATAGCATACAAAATGGGAATTATTTAGGGATAAATCTGACAAAAATCAGCAAGATCTGTACACTGAAAACTACAAAACACTGCTGAGAAAAATTGAAGAAGATCAAGATAAATGGAGAGACATACTGTGTTCATGGATTGGAAGACTCATTACTGTTAAAAATATTAGTTCTCCCCAAATTAATCTATAGATTCAATGTAATCCCAATAGAAATCTCAGCATGCTTCTTCTTTTTGGTAGAAATTGCTAATTGTAAAATTTGTATGGAAATGTAAAGTACCTAGAATGGTCAAAACAACTTTGAAAAGGAAGAATAAACTTGGAGGACTAACACAACATGACTTCAATTTCGATTTCACTACATGACTACAAGATTTCAATTGTCCATTGCTAGTTTATAGATACAATGGATTTTTGTATATTGATGTTTCTATACTGCAGTGTTTCTAAACTCACTTGGTAATGCTAGTAGCTTTTTTGTAGATTCCATTGAGTTTTGTACATAGATCATCATATGATCAGTAAACTAAAAGTTTTAGTTTTTCAAAGTTATAGCTTCAAAACATTAAAAAGCTACAATAATCAATACAGTGTGTTTTTGTGTGAACATAGAGAGATAGATCACTGGAAGAGGAGAGACAATCCAAAAATGGACCCCCACTTATATGGACAAATGATTTCAACAGGGTTGCAAAGGCAATTCAGTGAAGAAAGAATAAATAGTCTTTTAAACAAATGGTGCTGGAACAATTAACTTTCTGTATGCAAAAAAAAAAAAAAAAAGAAAAAAGAAATATACTACAATCACCTTGCCTGTATGTAAAAATAAGTCAAAATACTTTACAGACACAAGAATAAACCTTAAAAATATAAAACTACTAGGAGAAAACACAGTGGAAAATCATTGTGACCCTAGGTTAGGCAAAGATTTCTTAGATGTAACAGTAAAAGCACAATCCATAAAATAAAAAAATTGATCAGCCAGATTTTATTAAAATTAAGAACTTGCACTCTTTGAAAGATTCTGTGAAGAGGATAAAAAGCCAAAACTGAGGAGAAATATTTATGAATCACATAGCTGATAAAGAAATCATGTATAGAGTATAAAAACTCTTAAAACTCAGTAATAATAAACAGCACAGTGAGAATTGGGCAAAATATTTGAATAGACACTTTACCAAAGAGGATACGTGGATGACAAGCACATGGAGAAATGCTAATTATTGATTAGGAAAATGCAAGTTAAAGCCACAGAACATGCTATTTCATAGCAGTGATTAGAATGGCTAAAATTAAAGATGATTGACTATACCAAGCATCAGGAAGTTTATGAGGCAACTGGAATTCTCATTTACTGCTGCTGGGAATAATGTAAAATGCACTACCAGTTTGACAAACTGTTTGGCGGTTTCTTAAAAAGCTAAACATACACCTATCATATCAGTCATTCTACTCCCAGGTATTTACCTGAAAGAAATGAAGGCACAAGTCCACATGAAGATTTCAGTAGCAGCTTAATTCATAATAGCCCCAAACTGAAAACAACCAAAATGTCCATTGGCAAGTGAATGAATTAAAACATTTTGGGCTGGGCGTGGTGGCTCACGCCTGTAATCCCAGCACTTTGGGAGGCTGAGGCAGGTGGATCACTTGAGGTCAGGAGTTTGAGACCAGCCTGACCAACATGATGAAACCCTGTCTCTACTAAAAAGACAAAATCAGCGGGGTATGGTGGCGCATGCCTGTAATCCTAGCTACTTGGGAGGCTGAGGCAGATGAATCGCTTGAATCTGGGAGGCAGTGGATGCAGTGAGCTGAGATCATGCCATTGCACTTCGGCCTGGGCAACAAGAGTGAAACTCTATCTCAATAAATAAATAAATAAATAAATAAATAAATAAATAATTGTGGTATATTTATATGATAAAATACTACTCAGCAATAAAATGGAATCAATTATTGGTACAAGCAACAACATGGATGAATTTCAAAATAATTAGGCTGGGTGAAAAAAGACAAAAAGAGTATATACTATGTGATTACATTTATACAAAACTAGAACATAGAAACTAATCTACAGTGACAGATTGCAGATCAGTGGTTGCCTGGGGACTGGGGTGGGGGATAGGGAAAGAAAGACCGCAAAGAAGCACAAGAAAATTTGGGGAGTATGTTCAGTATCCTGATTGTGTGATGCATGTGTCAAAAATGCATTAAAAATTTACATTTTAATACATGCAGTTTATTGTATGTTGCACATTATTACCTCAATAAAGCTGTTGAACAAATTCCGTTGCCTTTTCCTGATACCATGCTGCCCGTCACAGGGGTTCTTTGTCCATGCCAAAGAAACCATCACTCCTGAATTCATTCAAATAATCGCATATCCCTTATGGTCTGCAAAGACTTGTTAGTTTGAGAATCCATCTGTGTAACATCTACCACATAAGCAAGCGGTGCTGACTTGCTGGAATTCCTGTCACACACGAGAGAGAAAGGGTGGAGCAGTCAGGATTATATTATAGCAGGGACCCGAAATGCAATGAGCAGTTTCAACGAATAGTCCTTGAAATGTATGACAAAGGAAGCTAAGTGCATTGCAATCTAGAAGCTGACATCACAGTTTTTATCTCCATGTTATAATTTTCTTCCTTTATCACCAGTCTGCATTAAGGTTTATTAGTACATCTCTGGCCTGCTCAGAAGCCATCAGGTGGGGACAGATTAGTGTGTCGGTTATGGAACAGTGGTAGGCAGAAGCCGATCAGATGAACTCAGACAGCACGGTAATTAGCATGCCCGAGACACCAGGCTGCCGTGCTGGGGCGGCCTTGGCCAGTCTCACTGTGGAGCAGTTTGTTCCTTTCCACAAAGAAATTCATTAGTGGCGATCAATGGCATGCAGTGTGGAGGCTCCCCCACTGATGCCTGGAGTCTCCGTGGCCCGGAGTCGCCCCCTGCTTGGGGCCGGGAGAGAGGTATCCATGCCAGCTCTCTGGCTGCTCACCAGGGCCACTGGGCAGCCCCTCAGGGTTAGGCTACGGGGAAGCACCCGCAGACCCTGGAATTCTGCATGCAGCCATGGTCTCACCCCATAGTCTCAATGGAAGGGCGAGCACACAGCTCTAAGGCTGTCTGCACCCACGGAGACTGATGTGGAATTGATGCAGGGGTCGAGTGCGGAGTCTGAAGTCATTAAGCTCTTAAAGAAGCCCACTTCACTTTTTGTTGTTTGCTCCATGCCAGCAAATTCTAAGTACTGCAACACTAAGTTGTAAATTCATGTATTCGTCCAATGAGTATTTATTGTGTACCTTTTGCATGCTAGGTTCTGGGGATTCATGGAGAATGAGGGGGTCAACGTTCCTGCCCTCATGGAGCTATAGCCTGGCATAGGAGACAGAGAATAAATAACTAAGAAAGCCAACAAGATAAGTACCACTGAGTAATTAAGAAAACTTGTTATTATGTAATGTCCTGGATACAACATGACTCTCTTAATCAGAGGTTCTTCCCCTGGGCTCATAGACCCCATAAGCTCCTTGAAATAGTTATGGAAAAGTATGTGTGTGTCTGTGTTTCTGTTTTTTTCTCTAGGGAAAGTCCATACTTTTCACCATATGCCTAAAGTGTCTATACTTCAAGGAAGGGTGGACAGATGACTCTAGTTCACCCCTCAGGTGTCCATGGGCACAGGCATTCTTTCCTAATCCTTTCCTGGACCCACTGTGACTGTCTCCTCCTTGTTTCTCTAAATCACTCCCAGAGAAGTCTGTTCCCATGTACTAGCGGGGCTGGGAGCTGTTGCTTCCCTCTCTGGGTTCATGTTAGTGTCCACTGGAAGAGGCAACCTACCTGCATTCAATCAGCATTGCTCTGCACCTCTGAGAACAAGCACTCCATTTCCCAGGGGAGAGCCAGGTCCTGGGGGCCACAGCTTCAGGGGCAGCTGGATGGGAGACCATGCAGCCCTGCACCGCCAGCCTGATCTCCTGGATTTGTAAAGTGATGGTTGCAGTGGGAGGCCTTGGGTGGGTGCAGCTAACCAAGTTCACCTGTGGGGATAAGAGTGAAGGTTTGTAAGCAAATACCAGGGAACGTGCCCTGCTCCTGGCACCTGTACTGGGGGTTGCTCTGCACACCTGCATGGTTGGGGGTGTGTGTGGCTTGTACAGCCTCGTGGCTGTATCCTGCCCAAGCACTGTGTGTTCGGGGGAGGTTCAGCCTGGGCTTGGCTGTCCTCATGGCCAGCATCCAAGCGAGGACCCTCACTTGCCTGCCCTGGTCCTCAGCACCATCTCTGCCCCTCCAGGTTAGCCTTCCCTGAGCCCAGAGCTTGCCAGTTCCCTTACAGAGCCTTTGGCCTCTCTGGTCTGGCACTGGTCTCCCCAAGTCCTATTTCAGGAGGGGGCTACAGGGATCTTATTGCCATTTGTGTCACAGTCTCTGAGGATGTTCACAGCCCAGTTCCCGGGCCTGGCCGCAGGTGGTGGAGCAGGCCCTCCCTCTGTCCAGCCCTGCTCCTGTGAGCTGCAGGCAGCGCCTTGTTCCTGCCTGCAGCTCACATGGAGAGGGAGCCTTTTGTGGAGCAGCTTTTGGCATATGTCGGGAAGCCTAGGAAGTGGGTGCACTTGGGTTTTGTTCTTTAAAGCTCCTGGGTGCTCAGGCCTCTGCCCAGCCCAGCTTGGGACAGGGAGCACATGGAGCTGGCAACCTTGGTCCTTCAAAGCATCATTGCCCCTGACCTCAGGACCTGTCCTCTGCTCAGCAGACCACCAGTTTTAATTATGGTTAGGACGTGGTCAGTATGGGGCACTCTGAGGACAACCTCTGAGGTCCTAGAGTCACTTTTCTTACAGAGTATCATATAGGACTGTCACACCTGCCCAAGCATGGCCCTGGGCAGCTGTTCGATCACTCTGGGCCTCTATGCCATTTGTCGGTAAAATGAGGGGCTCCTGCCTGTGGCA
The DNA here is from genome assembly GCF_000001405.40 of Homo sapiens. NCBI lineage: Eukaryota > Metazoa > Chordata > Mammalia > Primates > Hominidae > Homo > Homo sapiens. The sequence goes on along the minus strand of NC_000010.11, from coordinate 86,180,274 downwards.
TGGAGGAGAGGAGTTGCTGAGCCAATCACTGCGGGCCCCAGGCATGGTGCCCACCCCTGGTGTTCTCTAGTGTCCTTCTGGTGCACCAGCCGGAGCCTTCTGCTCACAAGCTAGCTGGCGGCCACCTCTCCTGCACCTCTCCACCACTCCACCACTGGGCTGGCCTCCCTTTGTCCAGCCTGCTCCTGCTCCGCCCTGCCCACTGGCTCCCAGACTCTTGACTTGGCTTCTGCCATAGGTTGATGGAGCTCTGGTTTCTTTGTGGTGCCTCAGGCCTCTGCAAGGGATTCAGACCCTTCTGCGTCTTTCTGGACTCATTCTTTGGCTCCCTCCCGCCCATGTGCAGCATGGGATTCAGACTGAGGTGTGTGTGTAATAAATGTGGGCCTCCTCTTCTCTCCACTTTACGGGGGAAGATGGGCTTCCTCATGACCCTCTGGAGGATGCCCTGGGGAGGATCATGTTGTGGTGGTGTTTCATTGTTAGACCTCCCTGGATTGAAGTAGCTGAAATCCTAGCCGACGTTTATGTGTATTTAGACATGATGCACTGGTTTGGGCTAGGAGAGTCATTGTGATTGATTGGCTGTGGCCCTGAGGTTCGTACAGATGTTCCCATAGAGGGTAGGACACTGTCCCGTGGCCAGTTGGAGCAGTGACTGGGGACCCAGGGAGCAGAAGGGGACTTGAGGCCCCACAAACTGTCAGAGAAAATGAAATGCAGTTCTCTGTGGCTTTCCACTTGCAAATTGTGTGACCTTGGACAAGTAAGTAGAACTGTCTGAGCCATAGTTTCCGTCCTTGAAAGCTGGGATGGAAGTGACTCCCTGCTGGGGTCGTGGAGGACCAGAGGAGGTCACCTCAGTGAAGCTGCCTGGCACGCCATCGGGGAGAGCCTCAGAGAAATTTGAATGAGTAAATGTCTGGCTGATCCCAGGAGAGCAAGGAGAAAGATGGAGGGAGGGGAAGAGGGAGGAGGGCTGCAGTCCGGGGCTGGGGCATGGGTGGGGGCTGCTGTGAGACAAGCCTGGCCAGTCTGGCTTTGTGAGCTGGTGGCAGGAAGAGGAAGGTAGCTGGGCTTGCTTTGGGAATGTGTGTGCTGTGGGCCCCAGTGGAGGCCCGGGAACTTAGCCTGTGTACTGTCTTGGGGGGATTTCTCCCTTCTGGGTGGGGATTGGGTCTGGAGCCTGGAAACACCTTTGGTCTGATGACCTAAGCCCCAGGCATTCCATCCCATCCTTGGCTCAGGCTAGGCTGGGACCTGGGATGGCTCCAGTCCCAGCTCTCCTATTAGCCCCAGGAGTGTGCAGCTGGGGCAAGGCCTGAGGGTAAACCAGACCCTCCAGCCTCTGCAATGCCTGCCCAAGGTCAAGGCTCTTGGCTCAAAGCGACAGAGAAAATTCTCCCCATCAGGAAACACTCTAAGGCTTCCCTGGACATGGCACTGGCTTTGAGGGTCTCTGGGCTAAATGGTCTCACTCCGAATCAAGCAGGGAGGCCGGGGAGAAACCATGGGTTCAGGGAGGGGAGTGAAATCAGAGCCTCTCAAAGGCAGAAAGGGCCAGGAGGCCTGGAGGTGGCTCCCAGGGTCTGATGCATGGAAATGAGGAGTCGCTTAGTTTAAGGAGACCGTAGTTCTCTGTGTGTAGAACGCCCCGGGGTGGATGCACGAGCCGCCTGCTGGTCATCTGGAGGTGGCGCATGGGCTCTCTTGTGCCTGTCCCCTGTGGCAGAGGCCCTTCCTGGGCCTAACACCCTCATGAAATGGCCTATGAGCTTGAACCTGGGCCTGAATGTCCTCACTAATAACCCAGCACCGTTTGCCAAAAATCAGGCCAGGTTGCCTCTGGAGAGCCTGTTAACTGAGTGACTTGCTGTCACCCAGCCTTGCTTCTTCTCCCCCTGTCCTCCCTCCACTGCTCCCGCTTTTGTGTGCAAATAGGCAGGCAGGGGAAGGTTTGGGGCTGTGTCCAAAAGAAGGGCACGATGGATATAAAACGTAAGAAAAAAAATGCTCAATAATTTGGTCATCTGGAAAATCAGCCAGAGGTCATTTGGGAGACAAGTGATTTTGTGACCTGGTTTCTGGTGAGTTGGCCACTAGGAGAACTGCTCACTCGAAGATTTTGTCACTTGGGGAACTGACTTTGGAGATTTGGTTTTTGTGGAGTGGAGCTGATTTCTGAAGTGAAATCTCAGCACAGAGGTTTACAGGAAGCCAGAGTCCTCCTCACTTGAAAACTCACACCTCACCCCTGGTGCCCCTCAAGGCTGTGTCTCGGCTTTGTCCCCACGGAGGGGAGCATAGTATGTTCTTCACGGTGGTGGACTGGGATCTCTTTGTCTCACTGTCTCTCCGTCTCTTTTACACACATACTGGAGCCTTTGTTTCTGTCTCTTTCATGCACACACACACACATACACTGAAGTCTCTGTCTGTCTCGTGCACACACGCGTGCATACGCTAAAGTCTCTATTTCTGTTTCTCTGTAATGCATGCACACACAGGCACACACACGCACGCACACACTGTCTCGCTCATGCACATATACACACACTGGAATCTCTCTCTGCCTCTGTCTCTTTCTCTCATACACACCAAATGGATCTCTGTCTCTCACACACACATGCATACACATGCTAAAGTCTCTTTCTCTGTGTCATGCATGTGCACACACACACTGTCTCTGTCTCATGCACATACACACATACTGGAATCTGTCTGTTTTTCTCATGCATGCACACACACACCAAAATCTCTGTCTCTCTCATGCACACATGCATGCACACGCTAAAGCTTCTGTCTCTCTCTCTGTAATGCATGCACCCACCCCCCCATACACAGTCTCTGTCTCTCATGCACATATGCACACACTGGGATCTCTCTCTGTCTCTCTCTCTCTCTCTCCTGCCTGAAGCCTCCAGAGAAGTAAGTTGAATGTTGAGCAGGGTTTTCCCACGGGGTGGCTCAGAAGCAGCCGTAATTGGAGGGAGTAGGGAAAAGACAATGCACTGTAATTGGTCTAAATAACCCTTTTCGCTGAGTGTTAAAGGCAAGTAAGTTCTCAGGAGCAGACCTGGCTTTTTCCTCCCTAGGATTTTCTTGCTGTTTGGAAGTGCTTGTTCCTGGAGGGTGTGTTCATCTCTCTCGGGGGAGGTCGGGATCCTGGGTGCTGTTGGGGTTTGCTGCTGTAGGGGGTGGGGGCGAAGGGCACCAGACAGTGATACGGTGGAAACTGTACCGTGCATGCCTGGGGCTGTCTCACAGATGCTGAATCTGAACTCACCATTTCTCCTCCAGATCTGGTCTACTTTTGTCTTGGCTGGTGACATCACTGCCACTGGATGATGTTTCTTACTTTTGCCACGGCCACTGAGAAAGCTGACACCTTTTCACAGCTTTCAGTGATTGAACACTGACCTTTTCAAGCATCCTTGCATCTACTCCTCCATCTGCACCATTACAGTCCCTCATCATTTCTTACCTAGACTGGCACAATAGCGACCTATCAAGGCTTTCTGTCACCAATGTCTTCTTTCTCTAATTCACCCCATTGGTCACCAGAGGAGACTTGGGAATATGAGTCTGATTAGTCAGATCCAAGCTTGAAAACCTTCAGTAGCTCTTCATTGCCTCAGGGTCAAGTTCAAGCTTTGCAGCTTCATATCCAGGACCCTTTCCCACCTGGCCCCTCCCTTCTTTTGCACGATCATCTCCTCGTCTTCTCACTCATTTGCCTTTGGTCTCCGGCAGTGCTGAACTGCTTTAGCTCTCAGCGCATGCACAGGCTGCTCCTTGCTTATGCCTCCATTTTTTCAGGCCTCAGTGCCTTTGCACATGCTGATCTTCCTGCCTGGAAATGCCTTTCTTTCACCTCGTGCCATGATGAATATAATAAGGCCAAGTTCCCCATTCTTTTAGGTAACATTAGATACACTCTCCTTGTGCTATTTCTGTTCTTTTTTTGATGACAACTATCATGCTCCAACACTGTGCTATTATTCATTTGCTTCCATATCCTACTCTCCTCCTCCTTCAGCCCCAGAACGTGGTGTTCAAAGACAGGAAATACGCTTTGTTCACCTCTGTATCCCCAGCATCTAGCCCAGAACTCAGCCCAACAGCTGATTCTGGCTGGGCGCAGCAGCTGACGCCTGTAATGCCAGCCCTTTGGGAGGCTGAGGCAGGCGGATCACAATTTCAGGGGTTCGAGACCAGCCTGGCCAACATGGTGAAACCCCGTCTCTACTAAAAACACAAAAATTAGGCCGGGTGTGGTGGCTCACGCCTGTAATCCCAGCACTTTGGGAGGCCGAGGCAGGCAGATCACCTGAAGCCGGCAGTTCGAGACCAGCCTGACCAACATGGAGAAACCCCGTCTCTACCAAAAATACAAAATTAGCCAGGCATGGTGGCGCATGCCTGTAATCTCAGCTACTCAGGAGGTTGAGGCAGGAGAATCGCTTGAACCCGGGAGGCGGAGATTGCAGTGTGCAGAGATTGCGCCATTGCACTCCAGCCTGGGCAACAAGAGTGAAACTCTGTCTCAAAAAAAAAAAAATAGTGACTCATTCCCCCTAAGTGAATTCATTCCACAAACATTTACCAAACACTCCCCTGTGCCAGGCACAGCTCTGGGCACTGGAGGTGCATTGGTGTGAGTGTCAACCACCGGGTTAACAGCGGAAAGGTCCGTGATGTCCTTGACAAGAGCCGTTGCAGTGGGGCAGTGGGCAGATGGGGTGGGTTCGAGAGATGGCAGGAAGAGAGGAAGTGGAGCCAGCTGGCTAGGTCATATGGAATTCTCTTTGTCAAAGGGTATGGAGGCATGGTGGCCATTGAAGGAGGGATCATGGTATCAAGAGGGAGATGTTTTTATAAAGACAGAGGGTAACTTAGGCCACCACTTTCTTGGAGTCTTTTTTTTTTTTTTTGCTTTATTGAGGGCAAAGAGGTAGAGGAAATGGCCTTTTGGGAGTAAGTGAGTGAGAAAGGGGAGAGAGAAATACACAGAGAATAACCAGATCCACAAGTTGAGACAGTCTATCTGCGGCTACTCCCTGTACCCATCCCTATAGCTATTGCTGTATCTATATCTAAACACATATACTTCCCCTGCCACGCATATTCACACACATCTTTATAGAACTTTCAATGATTTCCAAAGATCCTGTGGAATACTGGTGTGCTGCCTTGTGGGGAGAAAAGAAGACTGAGCTAGTTTACAGTCCCACCAACAGTGTAAAAGTGTTCCTATTTCTCCACATCCTCTCCAGCACCTGTTGTTTCCTGACTTTTTAATGATTGCCATTCTAACTGGTGTGAGATGGTATCTCATTGTGGTTTTGATTTGCATTTCTCTGATGGCCACTGATGGTGAGCATTTTTTCATGTGTTTTTTGGCTGCATAAATGTCTTCTTTTGAGAAGTGTCTGTTGATGTCCTTCACCCACTTTTTGATGGGGTTGTTTGTTTTTTTCTTGTAAGTTTGTTTGAGTTCATTGTAGATTCTGGATATTAGCCCTTTGTCAGATGAGTAGGTTGCGAAAATTTTCTCCCATTCTGTAGGTTGCCTGTTCACTCTGATGGTAGTTTGTTTTGCTGTGCAGAAGCTCTTTAGTTTAATTAGATCCTATTTGTCAATTTTGGCTTTTGTTGCCATTGCTTTTGGTGTTTAGACATGAAGTCCTTGCCCATGCCTATGTCCTGAATGGTAATGCCTAGGTTTTCTTCTAGGGTTTTTATGGTTTTAGGTCTAATGTTTAAGTCTTTAATCCATCTTGAATTAATTTTTGTATAAGGTGTAAGGAAGGGATCCAGTTTCAGCTTTCTACATATGGCTAGCCAGTTTTCCCAGCACCATTTATTAAATAGGGAATCCTTTCCCCATTGCTTGTTTTTCTCAGGTTTGTCAAAGATCAGATAGCTGCAGATATGTGGCGTTATTTCTGAGGGCTCTGTTCTGTTCCATTGATCTATATCTCTGTTTTGGTACCAGTACCATGCTGTTTTCGTGACTGTAGCCTTGTAGTATAGTTTGAAGTCAGGTAGCGTGATGCCTCCAGCTTTGTTCTTTTGGCTTAGGATTGACTTGGCGATGCAGGCTCTTTTTTGAAAGTCAATGTGGCGATTCCTCAGGGATCTAGAACTAGAAATACCATTTGACCCAGCCATCCCATTACTGGGTATATACCCAAAGGACTATAAGTCATGCTGCTATAAAGACACATGCACACGTATGTCTATTGTGGCACTATTCACAATAGCAAAGACTTGGAACCAACCCAGAAGTCCAACAATGATTGACTAGATTAAGAAAATGTGGCACATATACACCATGGAATACTATGCAGCCAAAAAAAAATGATGAGTTCATGTCCTTTGTAGGGACATGGATGAAATTGGAAATCATCATTCTCAGTAAACTATCACAAGAACAAAAAACCAAACACCGCATATTCTCACTCATAGGTGGGAATTGAACAATGAGAACACATGGACACAGGAAGGGGAACATCACATTCTGGGGACTGTGGTGGGGTGGGGGGAGGGGGAAGGGATAGCTTTAGGAGATACACTTAATGCTAAATGACGAGTTAATGGGTGCAGCACACCAGCATGGCACATGTATACATATGTAACTAACCTGCACATTGTGCACATGTACCCTAAAACTTAAAGTATAATAAAATAAAATAAAAAAAAAGAAAAGAAGACTGAGGAGGAAAGTTTAGACTAAAAGTGATTTAAGAGATGTATCAAACAATTGGCTATATGTATAGACTTTGTCAGGATTCTGATTTGAAAAAATTATAAAAAAAAATGTGTGTGACCATGGGAAGATGTGAATACTGGCTGGATATTGGAAGATAGTAAGGGTTTGTTTACTTTTTGTAGGTATGCTTATGGCATTGCATTTAGAAAAAATTCTTGTCAGGCCAGGTGCAGTGGCTTATGCCTGTCATCCCAGTACTTTGGAAGGCCGAGGCAGGAGGATCACTTGAGGCCAGGAATTTGAGACCAGCCTGGGCAACATAGCAAGACCCTGTGTCTACAAAAAACAATAAAAATTAGCCAAGCATGGTGGCACACACCTGTAGTCCCAGCTACTTGGTAGGCTGAAGTGGGAGGATTGCTTGAGTCCAGGAGATCAAGGCTGTAGTGAGACGTGATTGGGCCACTGCACTCCAGCCTGGGTGACAGATATTCTGTCTGTTAAAAACAAAATAAAACAAAAACAGGAAAAATCCTTGTCTTTTGGAGACACAATTGAAATGTATACATGTGAAAGATGTGATGCTGGAGATTTTCTTCAACTTAATTTGAGGGTGGGTGAGGTGTAGGTGGTAACAACTGAAGTTGGGTAAGACATACACAAGGCCCACTACCCTTTTTTCCAATGTTTGAAATTTTTTTATAATAACAAGTAAAATAAAATCATATAATAGCATTTTTTTCTTAGTTATACAGGAATCTTGTGTGCTTTTTATTTTAGGTTTTACGGCCTTAACTTTTCTGGAATATTAGGTGCTGTTATCACTTGCCGGCTAGAGAGAGGAGCAGATGGCAGGATGGATGGATAAGTAATGAGCAAATATTAATGAGAACAGGAAACTATCAATCGAGTTTCCTGGACAGATTGCTTTTATCCCTGGATACTTCTGCAAAATTACATGCATATAATATAGTCATATTATTTTTTGCTAGAAAATGATTCATACCATGGGATTAAGTAGGGCAGTACTTTGCGGTGGGAGGGAGGTTTATAGAGGCTTAAGTGTGGGCTCTGGAGGCAGACTGCCTAGCATTGCACTCAGTAATCCTCTGACCTGGGGCAGTAACTCCCTATCTGCAAAATGATGATAAAGTAGGTGTATGCATGAATATGTACCTGATGTATACTCACACAATGGAGTATTATTTGGCCACAAAAAGTAATGAAGTACTGATGAGTGCTAGGGTAGCGATGAACCTTGAAAACATTATGCCAAGTGAAAGAAGCTAGCCACTAAAGACCACATATTGTATGATTCCACTTATATGCAATGTCCAGGATAGCTGAATCCATAGACACAGAAAGTGGCTGCCAGGGGCTAGGGTGGGATGGGGGTAGGGGAGTGTAGAGAGTAATTGCTGATGGTAATGAGGTTCCTTTTTTGAGTTGATGGGAAAGTTCTGAAATTAGATTGTAGTGGTGGTTGCAAGAGTCTGAATATAATAAGCCATTCAATTGTACACTTAAGACAGGTGAATTTTTTGGCATGTAAATTATATCTCAATAAAGCTGCTTGAAAAAAATATACCAACCACATCACAGAGTTAAGGATTAAATGAAAAACTGTGTGTAACGTATTTCCTGGCATGCCGCGTAGGGTTTCTAACTCCAGGTGCTTCGCTGAAATCTTTAGGGAAGAGCGTGTTCCTCCGGCGTTTGCTTTCTGAAATGCTTGATATGAATCATGCTATGAAGACTCTGGAAGTGAGTGGTTTAGGTAGAATTACTATTTCAAGTTTCTAATGACCACATACTGGTCTGGAATTAAAAGGCTTCTAAATGGCCCTAAAGTAGATTATTCATATTGCTCCAACTTTTTGGTCTTTAAAACCATCTGTCTTTGAAGCTTGGAAATCTTTTAGACAGTCTACAGTGTGGCATTTCCTTGCACAGCCCCCACCCTACCTGCCTCTGCAGAACCTCCTCTTTTCCCATGGGACTTATGTGAACGCCTGAGCCCTGCTGACATCTTCACCCTCTGGGTCCCCACCTCGGTTAATAGAGATAAAGCCAGTTAGTAGCTAATCTAATGGACTCATGATGTCCTAGTTTATCTCTCTTTCTTCAATACCTCCTTAATTGCCTAAAATGTTATGGGAGAGACACAGAGCTAGCTGACCCACAGAACTGGTGGGGTTGGCCTTGCACTTGGGGATTTTCTTCCTTTCCAACTTTCAGGCTTGCATACCAAATCCCTGGGCTGGAGGCAGAAACGCTTCTATTGCCCCAGGTCCCTTCCCTAGTGGTTCTCTTGAGCTTGAGAAGGATGAGAACCATCCCTTTAATTTAAGCTCTTGCTGCCCTGGCAGGTCCAAAGCATGCTTTTCATAGTGGCTGCACCTTGGGATCCCTTGGGAAGTTTCGAAAAATACAGGTGCCTTAGTCCTGCTTCTAGACGCTCTGATGTAACTGGTATAGGGTAGAGAGTATTAAAACTTTCCAGGTGATTCTAGTATGCCTTGAAGTCTGAGAACCACTGCCTCAGAAGGAAGTCACGCTGAACGGGTGGTGGCGGTCTGAAGGCAGGGAAAAGCAGAAGTGCTTAATGAGTTGGGGGAGGAAGCGTGGGGGGTAAACGTTTTTCTTGACTTGAGTGTAGAGGAGAACCTGTGAGTAAACATGCTATTTTAAATGGGTTGGCATTTGGCTGAAAATAGACAGGAAGCACGGATCCAGAAATCCATTCAGCTTTTAGAACGTGACCCCAAATAGCTTCACTCCTGCTCTGACACATCCCCAAGAAGGACTCTTCCTCCTTTGTCAGCCAAACATGTTAGCAGTTGTCTTCTGGCACTTGGAGTGCATGCGCACGTGTGTGTGTGTATGTGTGTGGGTGTGTTTGTGTGTGTAGGAGAGAGACAATAGAAAGGTTGTGCATAGCCATGGCAGGCTCTCTGCAATGCTTCTTTGTGGTTCACTGGTCCCTTGGGGAGCAAAGTGGGGACCCTCCTAAAGATGGGCAGGCCCAGCAGGGAGAAGAGCAGGTCCATTCATTAAAGAACAGGGCATTGCCCTCTCCTGGGGGAGCTCACATTTGTGATGGGGCCTATGGAGGGCAGGCACTGTGCTAGGGCCATTATCTCCTGTAGGCCTCAAACGACAATCCTATGAGAAGCTCTACTTTACCGGGGAGTCAACTGAGGCTTGTGGTGCATCCAAGGACATACAGATGGTGGGCGACAGGGACCTGATTAGAATCGCTGTCCACTGGACCATGCCATCCGCCTGCTGGCTCTGAGGTGGCTGCTGCGGAGCTGACACCCCCAGATGCTCTGGGAGGGCTGGTACAGAAACCCAGTCCTGTGGGCTGGGCCAGAGCCACTCAGGCTCTAGGTGTCACGTTGGGCACCGTTGTGGTCCTCTTTGGCTGTGTGATTCCCTCAAGCCCCAGGCTTGCCTGGAGACCTTCTTGGGAGAGGTGGCTTGGGATAATGCTTTTCATTAAGGATGGGCGGAAAGGCCTGTCTTCTGAGAGTCCATGGCAGTGCTGATTCAGAACCCCAGGGCCAGGTGCCTGTGGCTTGCACGGGGCGCTTTCCTGCCCCGCCTTGGCCTCTGAGAGCTCCAGCTGTGCTCTGAGCAGGACAGAGGAAGTGACTGTACCTTGAAGAAGAGGGATCCTCAGAAGACCCAGTGGAGCCACATGGGCTGCCGCTGGGCTGTTTCAGCGGTAAATCTCCCAGGATGGGACATCTTTGGGGAGTTCCTCCTGCAGGCCATGGCAGGGCTTTGCCTCTAGCAATGGGACATCTTCTGGGGACTCCTGAGTTGAACTGGCTGGTGGGGGTCTTCTGCCTGGGGATTGAAAGTGACCATGTTTCAGAAATCCCAGGCTGGACTGCTGCTGGAAACTGCTAGAGGAATTTTGTGCTCTTCTGACTTGCTGACTCACCAGGCCTTATGGGTTGCCCTGTGTGCTTTCCCTGAGGTTTCAGGCTTTGGTTCCCACCCTCGTTTTCTCCTTGGCAGCATCCCTTCCACCACCCCCATGATGGAACTGGGCACATGTGGGTACCCCTGTGCAGGGGCATGCTGGAAGCTGGCGTCCTAACTCCATGCTTAGTAATATCCCTTGGTAGCTTGAAATCTACCATGGTGGAAATATTTACATCAAGGAAGTTGGTAAATGCTACAAGTCAGGGGTTTATTTACTTCCAGAGAGCCAGTTAAACCTCTCCTAGCATACCACTGCCCCTGGGGCTACAGCGTGGCTTGACAAGCTCAACAGTACTTGCCTCATTCTCTATCTGTTTGGCCTAAGGTCATTGCCGGAAGGCACCTATCTATCTCAGGGCAGTGTTTCCAGAGGCCACTGTGGCCCTTTTGGTCTGCTGTGACCAAATCCCTAGGTCTGACACAAGGCCTTCTTGTTGCAGTCCGGTCTAGCTCTTGCCATGATCCTGGATTGGCCTGAACCAGTGCACTGAAGCATCTTTTACGTCAGACACACTGTCCTTCAGCCTTTCTGCACCGGCATTGTGCACCCATGCAGGTGTGTGAGAGTGGGGAGCAATGCCTGGCTGGAGCTGTGGGCCTGGGTCCCCTTTCTAGCTTCAATTTCTTTCCCCACAGACCGAGCTGAACTCACAAGGTCCAGCTCATACTCTGTGCCCAGGGAGTCTCCCTGAATGGTGCTGTCACCTGTGCCCCTTGCCTGGGATGCACACCTGCCTTGGGTCTTTGCCCTGCCCTGTCCCCCAGGGTAAGTGGGTGAGTTAGAAGAAGGTCTTTCCAGAGGCAGGTATTTTGTGGGTCTTTGAGTATGTGACTGGGTATTTCTATGTGTCTCTGTGTGCAAAGCCTGAGTGTGTTCTTTCCCTGCCAGCCTTACTCACCGCTCTGCCCTGGGCTTGCTGAGGCTCCCTCAGGGCTGGGGTGTGTGAAGAAGGGCAGCTCCTCAGGGTGCAGTGGGCACTTGGCTCAGAATCCTTCCCACACCTGGCAGAGGGGATTCTGCATCCACAGGTGTTGTGTGGACAGCAGGCTCTTGGGTTCTGGAGATTGTCATGGGATCCCGGTTTCTAAGGGCTTCCCAGGGCTCAGATGTGCCCTCGGTAAACACAGCCCACAGCTTGGGCAGGGCCTCCCATCTCAGTGCAGTGCACGAGGGCGGGCGAGTTTCACTTTTCCCAGCCTGGGGTCACGCCCCTTGCCTGCATTGTCTCCTCGGCTCCACACACAGCCTGGTGAGATTGTGTGCCTATTTTTCAGTAGAAACTGAGGCTCAAAGTGGTTAAGTACCTGTTTACAGTCACACAGCCCATAAATGTCAGGAGAAAGATTTGCCTTAGACTCGAAGGTCCACGCTCTGTCTCACTGTCACCACACTGCCTCAGGCAGGGAATGGAGGTCCACTCATGCAGGCTCACCTTGCCCCGTAGTGCCTCTGGTGGAGTCCAGATGTTTTTGGGCTGCATTCATTTCAAACCACTGATGCCATGTCTGCCTCCATCAAGCAGCCTGCCTAACAGCTTCCCCTCTTCTTTGGTTTTCACCACACACAGTGTGCTCAAGGCTGTGGGGGTCTATGGGGCTTCTTGTAGCTCCTTCTGTCCTGGAGAACCCACTGTGAGCCTGGCCTGGTGCCTCCCTCGGTCACAACTGCTTGCCTCTGGGCCTCCTCTGCTGGAGCACAGCGTCTTCTTCTCACAGATGTCTCCTGAGAGCCTCAGGCAGGAATCCTAGGTGGTAGCTGCCCGAGCTGAGTCTGGTGCTTCTGTGAGAAAGGCAGAATCAGTCCTACTTTGTGTCTAACATCAGAGTCTCTAGAACATGCTGAGGAGGGCCGACTCTGCAGTGGTGGTGGGGCAGGAAGGCAGCAAAACCTCAGTTTCCTCATCTGTAAAACAGCTACAATGCTATGGACCCTGCCTGGCCGTGGGGAGGACCAGCTAAGATGGTGCACACCTGACATCTTGGCCAAAGTGTGAGGCTGCTGCTGGAAAGCCCGCCACTCCCCCAGCAACCACTGTCCCCACAGAACCTTGGCACCGTTTGCCTGATCCTGAGGTCCTTGGGAACAGCCAGGGGCAGGGTGTCTGTGGCCTATGGGATCTGTCCTCTACTTCCTGGGGAGATGCTTGGTTCTCTTCCAGAGTGGGCAAGCACATATTCTGGGACCAGCTCGGTGGTTCCTTCTGGAAGGCAGGCACTCTTTCTTGGTGGGGCCTGCACTCAGGCCTTCAGTCTTCCTCTGTGGCCCCTTCTCCCTGATGCTCATCCTCAGGAAGACAGCAGCAGGGAGGGTTTGGCCTCCTGACTGGATGGACACCCTCCCAGGGCCCAGGCCCCTCTGTCCTGCTTTATTGGAAGCTCCTTGGTCCCCCAATAGATCAGTGCTCTCAGAACTGTGGAAAAACCTCAGGTCTCCCTGATAAGATTGTGCTGGGGTTTGCGGGGAAGATGACAGAGCTGCAGGGAGGGAGAGGCCTTCCCCTTCTACCCTTGTTGGCTGGGTCTTTTCTGGGCTGGGTGGGGGGTGCTCCCCATTCAGCCTTTCTGCCAATAGGCCCCAGATTCCTTGCTGCAGAAGAAAAGTAGCAATGCCCGTAAGTTCCTGAATGCAAAGGCAGGAAGGTTTTGCACTTGAGATTTGGGACTTTGGTCTTGGGGCCTGGCTCTGGCTTAACTGTTTGGGAGGTAAGGAGGTACTTGGGCCAGAGCAGCAACAAAGCCTGCCGCAAATAGTGTGGAAATAGAGACTGCCCAGCAAAAGCTTAGACATGGCTGTGAGGACTGAGGGGAACTGCATTCTGCTCACATAAAACCTCCTGATTTGAGAAAGCAGAGATGGAGTATTTGGTCCCACCTAAATTTTAAGTGTCAGCCAGGCCAATTTATGCTGTGGCGCCAGGAACTGGGCTGTTGTGGCAGCAGGTCCTACTTTGCCACTTCCCAGCTGTGCCAAGTTACTCATCCTCTCAGAACCTCATTGTGCTTATTTGCATAATGGGATAGTAATATAGGCCTTGCAAGTTCTCCTGAGGACTAGGTGAGAAAACATCTGCAAAACACAGGTAAAGCTGCACCTCCTGGCTCAGTAAATGCTGCTAAGATAGTGACAATGTCTGTTGGCTGCATAAATGTCGTTTTTTGAGAAGTGTCTGTTCATATCCTTTGCCCACTTTTTGATGGGGTTGATTTTTTCTTGTAAATTTGTTCAAGTTCTTTGTAGATTCTGGATATTAGCCCTTTGTCAGATGGGTAGATTGTAAAAATTTTCTCCCATTCTGTATGTTCCCTGTTCACTCTGATCGTAGATATACCTAATGTAAATGACGAGTTAACGGGTGCAGCACACCAACATAGCACATGTATACATATGTAACAAACCTGCATGTTGTGCACATGTACCCTAGAACTTAAAGTATAATAATAAAAAAAAAGATAGTGACAGTGATATAAAGAACCGCTGAGAACAACAGAACGCACGTGATGGAGGCTGATCCATGGGTCTCATTTACTCCATAGTTAGCCAAGCCGTAATGAATGTGAAATGTTCCCGTGTCTTTAGCATTTTGGCATCTCCCTTTGCGCTAATGTCCAATCAGCATGACCGGAGCCTCCTCCGATTGTGGTGGGAACCGTTGCTCTGCACAGGATTTCTGGGGGTGTGAATGAGGAGTGAGTCTTACCTCCTGAATCCCAGGCCCTGCTGAATGTCGGTTCCTGCCAGCCACTCACAGCGCCGTCTTGCCCTAAACAGAAGCTTCCCTTGGTTTCCTCCCCTGAGCACCTCCTGGGAAGTGGTCAGTGGGACAGTTTGTCACTTAAAATTTGGGAAAACAGGGAGGGATGGCCACTCACCTTGATCTCAACTCCAAGAATTCTAACCCTTAGAACCCCAGGCCCAGTCTTTATAACCTTAAACCCAACCCAGAACTGGAAACGACTTACCACCCAATATTGGATCTCCCTCTTTGTAGACTAGGCCAGCCACAGGCCGCCTCTTTGGCCCTGGGCTTCAGCAGGGGTGGGCCCTCAGCCCTGGCTCAACACCTCCCCTCTTCTCCCAGCCCTCTGTCTCCAGGAGGCCAGCAAGCAATGCTGCAGTTCTGCCCTGCAGGGTCCGTGTGCTCCCATTTCCCTCTCTGCCTTGGTCTAGACTGGGCCTGGTCCTTTACACAGAAAAAGGGCTATTCAGGCATTTTCCTCCAGAAACCTTGAGCGCCGAGCAACATAGAAACTTGCAGATGCTTTGACACAACCATTTGTCTTGGCCTCATCTCAGATCTAGCTCTTCATCAGGGCTTTCTGCCCACTCTGCTCCTCCTCCTACCACCAGGATGTAATAAAGGAGCATGGGAAATGTGCACTGCGAGTATCCCTCCAGGATCACAGATTTTTTTTTTCCTCTATTGGTCATAGCTGGGGTTGATTGAAACCCCCTGTGGCTGCTCCATGACTGTTCGTCCTGACAGGCACAGTCTGCCTCTGGAGCACACAGCAGGGCAGCTGAAGGTACTTCTGCCATTGTTGGACTCCCCAAATTTCCTACCCCCCACTGAACATTCGCTTCTGTCCACTGTTCTTTGCTCCATCTCTCTGGCCTTTGGATGCCTGGTCTGCCTTCTGGTCCCCATCACCCAAGGACATGCTTTATCACCACCCATGCTGCCTCCTCCATGCTGCTGATGTGCCCCCAGCTTCATCCACTACCCCTTGGGGCCCCAAGAGAGAGGCTGAGTGAGTGTAGGGCCGACTACATTGGAGGGAATGGCTTCCATCGGTCCTGGAGGAAGCCAAACCTTCAGCTTTGTTCATGCTATTCCATCTGCCTGAATGTTGTTCCCTCTCCCACCTCTCTGTACCCATTGCAAACTCCTCCTCCATGCCTTGGCTTAAACTCATTTTCTTGGGAAACTCTCCCTGACCCCCTGATGAAGTTAGACTTTGTCCTTGTTTAACTGTAATTTAACTATTTGATTGCGCAATTATGGACTTAATTACCCTTCTGTTTCCTCCACTGTGCTGGGTGAGGGCAGGGACTGTCCCTCTAAGACTGTGCTCAGCAGGCTGCCTGGAACACAGTGTCACTTAGTAGATATTTATCCTGTGCATGAATGAATTAATGAATGAATGCTTCAGGCTGCGGGGTTCAGGGCTGGGCCTCAGCACTGAGCGCTTTTGTTCTCTGCTCCCTGGTGCTGCTGGGGGTGGGCCACCCCAGCGCTGGCATCCTGGGAATCTTGCTCACCTCCATGGTTCTGAACCTCTCTTTCCTTCTGGTTCCTGGGCTGCTGTTCCAGGTCGCTGGGCTGGAGCCTCCCCCAGATTTTGTCCTTTAAAACTCATTGATTTTTGTGCTGACTTTTACAGTACAAATGTCATCGTTAGATAAAATAATTGAAGCGGGTAATCTATTCACTGAGCTCACACAGCCCCTCCCACTCTGCCCAGCCTGGTGCACCGGCAAAAGTGCTGCCCCGGTTTGTTTTGACAACTGTTCCCCACCTGGGGTCCTAGGACTATGGCCAGCTGGAGTGAGCAGCACCGGGTGGTGCAGGGGCCTCAGGCCTGAGACCCTTCCTTGCCTTGCCAGTAGCTTCTGAGATGGACAGGGTGATGTAAGCAGATGGGTGAGGCTGAGCAGGCGACCACATACCAGCGGGGGGTGCTGGGCCACTCTTCCTCCTCTCTGTTCTTCATCCTCTCAGCCATTTGGTGGGGATAATCATACTTCTCTAGAAAGAAGATTAAGAGACCACAGATGGACTGCCCCCACCATCCCTGCCACCGAGTGGGGACTCAACAAACATTGTCTGACCCAGGCCTCCCACACAGAGTCCCTGCTTGTGGCTCTGGGCCAGAAGAGCAGCCAGAGGCCAACTGCAGGGGCAAGGCTCAAAGTCTCAGCCTCTGACCGCTTCTCTGCCTGCCTGGTCGGTGGCTGACGCTATCAGTCCAAAGTATCATGCTCACAGTCTTCATCACTGGCTTAACAGCTGACGTGTTAACAGAGGATCTTTAAGAAATGCGTCAAATTAACGGGTGCAGCATCCCAACATGGCATATGTATACATATGTAGCAAACCTGCACATTGTGCACATGGACCCTAGAACTTAAAGTATAATGAAAAAAAAAAAAAAAAGAAATGCGTCAAAACATGCTGCTCTGGGGCTCATGCTCATAGGACAGCTACACCCCACAGCCCCTAGCTCTGTCTCTGCTATGGGCCTCAAGGACAGGATGGGCCATGGAGCGCCTCACCTGGGCTTGATGGAGACAGCTGGCAGTGCCATGGCCCAGGGCAGCCACAGGCTCAGACGCAAGTGCCAGGCCAGGCTGTGCTGCTCCCACTCCCGTTGTTTCAAGTGGCTCCAGCCTGCCCCATGACAACCTGGGATGCATAAAGGGCACTGAGGGTACTGGCCCATTGGAGGTCCACAGAGTCACTCCCGCTCCCTGCCTCCACCTCTCCAGCATCCTGGCCCTCAGTTTTGGAATCTCAGCCCCTGTGTTTCCTCAGGTTCTTATACCCTAATGTGCTACTTACTTAGTACAGGCCTCTCCAACTCAACAACCCCCTGACACTGGCTTTCAGAAGGCTCCTTCAGGCCCATGCCCATGATGATGGATCAGATATATGCCCCCTGCCAGGCTGCCCTCCTGGAGAGAAATCTGCAACCCCAGGACTCTGTTCGCAGGAGCCCATCTCAGCCCTGTGCACAGGGCATGACCCAGAAGGTTCTCTCTGGGTGTTGGGACAGATGCCCAAAGGCCACTTCCAAAGAATAGTAAAGCCAAGAGGAATGATTTCTCCAAGCAGTGGGTCATGGACAACCCCACCCAACACCCTCACCTGTCCACTAGTGTGCACCCTGCTGGCTCCAGATCCAGACAGACTTTTTGCCTCTATACTTTTGAAAAGTTGGCCCCAAGACCCTTTTTATGCACAGGACACCCCTGTTTTTAGGGTTGGATTTGCAGAATTGGGAATGGAAATTGAGTCTGAGCTACTATGTGCCTTATCCATGGAAAGCTTCTGAAGACAAACAAGATTGGCTGCCCCTTGCTTTTAGGTGAGAGAACACACAGTTTGCAGTTAGCTGTCCCTAGTGGGCTTGGGAAAGGAGGAGCTGTGTGGCTGGGCTTTGGGTGGCTGGGATGGGGATGTATGGCTCTTCTTCCTGTTCCCTGCATGGGGTGAGGGTCCCTGGGCCTCAGCAGGGACACGGTAATGATGGCCCCATGATTTTGCCCTTTTCCTGTCTTTGCTTCTGGGTCAGTTCCCTCCTTGTGATGGCTGCACCCTCTTCCCTTTTTCCTCCCTGGGCCTTGCTGCCTGGGACACCACCCACCCAAAGCCCCAAAAGGTGTGGAGGTCCATCTAGATAAATTACTAACCCCAGGACACATTTATACATATTCATTTGTTTAATATTTAATTTTAATTAGAAGTGAAATGGCATTGCAAAAACACCCTGCCACTGCCCTACCACTGGTTGGGTGTCTTGCCGTCCCTCCAGAGCAGGACAGCTGCCAGGAGCCCTCCCTGGGTGACCACCAGCATTTTCCTTCGGTAAACAGACAGTGACAATCGGAAATTTGTACAAAATACAACACACTTGTTTTTCTGCCTTCTCTATTGATTTGGTTTTAGCAGGGAGAAGCTGGATGTAATTTTTGTTTGATTTCCTCTTGGTTTCTGAGTGGATTGAGATGTTGTTATCAATTCCTCCACCTCCGGCCATTTCAGTGATCCAGTTCCATTGTGACCACCACCACCTGCTTGCAAGCCTGTGGCTCAGGCAAGTCAGCCAGCAAGTCATCTCCACCTGCTTGCAAAAAACCCTGCCCAGAACCAGGGTGATGTGGCTGAGATGTGCAGCATTTTTGGGAAGGCAGATTCTGACTGATGAGAGATAAGCCCTCCTGGAGACTCCCTCAAGCACTCATGGCCTACAGAGACCCTCAGTTCCCCAGCCTCAGCTCCTAAGATTACTTTTTGGCTTAGGGCACTCACTGAGCCTCACTGTTCTCATCTGTGTAATGGGGTTAGGGCATTTCTCATGGGAGGAGCAGGAGCGCTCGGTGGGGGTAGCACACATTAGCCTGCCCCAGAGCCTGGCACCAGGTGGGAGCTTCGTAAATGCTGTTCCCTTCCCGCAGCTGCCTGTCCTGACTCAGCTTCTCAGGCTGAGTCACTCTCCAAGTGCCCTGTCTTCCCTCTTACACCACCCCCTATGCAGGCTTCAGAAACCTCTAGCTACCTGAATGTGCCTGAATGTGCTAGGATGTCAGGCCCCGGATTTCCCTCCTGACACTCCTTGCTACCAGCTTATTTTCTCATGCTGTCTCTTATTCCTAAAAGCATGGCTCACACCTTAGTTCTTTGGGTCACCGGGGTTGGACGGCCAGGGTGTGGGAATTTCACATCATGTAGCCTGTCTGTTGTTGCTGGTGCTATCAGCTGAGAGGTGGGAGGCCTGGGACAATGCACAGCTTTCCTGAGAGCCAGCTGGGTAAACACTTTTTCACAAGAACACCCTCATTCTTGAGTATTTAGGGGAGCACCCAAACAGATGCTGAGAGATCAAGGCAGGATTTTGGCCTCTAATAATAAGGATGCTTTGTTTCCAGCACACTGAGCGTGTGCTCAGACAGTGGGCTATACCGTTTTAAGAGAACAGCTTTTGGGCTGGAGTCTCCTAGACTCCATTCCCTGCTTTACCGCTTATACCCTGTGTGACCCTGAGCAAGTCACTTCACATCTTTGAGCCTTAGGCTACTGATCTGTAAAAATGGGGTTATTATTCCCCCCTGGAAGGACTCTTGCAAGGACTATATGAGGGAGCACATGGTTCCTGGCACATCATAGGCCCTCAGCACATGCTGTGGCCTTCTTCCTATGGCACTGGGGGTTGCTGATGATGAGCTTCTTTCTGCTCAGCATGTCTGGGCAGGCACTTGGGTCTGAAAATGGTGACCACCAGCAGGTTGCTGGCTTCTGGCCATTCAGCCTCCTGACCCTTTGTTGACCATGCCTCCTTCTTCCCCTCCACTCTGAATGCCAGAAAGTACATAGTGAACTTTCTTTTTGTTGGCATAATTCTGCAAACTCCTGATGTCACTGGTCCTAAAGAGTTACTCCAGAGTGGCGATGCTAGCTAGTTGGTCTGCAGGAGGCATGGCAGCTGGGAGGGGAGGGGAAGAATAGGTGATCTGGACTGAACTGGGAATTCTACATGGTTGAAATGAAATTTGTGCTTTGGTGAGGTGCATGCAGCAGGAGGGAGGACAGGCACACAGTGAGCATTTGCAGGATGCCTTAGGACTCAGCTGTGGCTTTGGCAAGACCAAGCATAGCATACACATCTATGGGTGGCTCCTTTGTGTAGAAATCAGACCCATCCTGGCTTAATCCCCCAGTTGAGGGCTTGGTGTTCTGGAGGTATGGCATGGACAGTTGTGCTTTGGCTCACACGATGATGATGATGATAATGATGATGATGCTGGTGTTGATGGTGGTGATGTTGATGGTTATGATGATGGTGGTAGTAGTGGTGGTGATGATGATGGTGGTGATGATGAAGGTGATGGTGAAGGTGATGATAATGATGGTCGTGGTGATAGAGCTAGTTCAGCTCTTACCACTTGCTAGGTACTATTCTACCTGCTTTGAATGTAGATTTAATTCTCGTAAGAATCCTCTGAGGTTGGCTTTGTTATCATCCCCATTTTATAGATGAGGAACAAAGGCAGAGAGAGGTTAAAATTGTTCATTGCCAAATGGTTGGTAAGGGGTGGAGTCCAGTGTTGAACCCTGGCTGACTTAGCCCTGTGCCCCCTGCCTCTGTCCCATGAATGATGAGCAGGCATGCTGAGCGAAGCTGTGTCCTGTGGCACAGACAAGGCTCTGGCCCAGCTCTAACAGAAATATAGTTGTGCATTGCTTAATGAGAAGTGCATCTTAGGTGGGCTCATTGTTGTCTTTACTGTGTACTTACACAGACCTAGAGGGTACAGCCACCTATACACCTAGACTATATGGGATAGCCTATTGCTCCTAGGCTACAAACCTGCACAGCATGTTACTGTACTGAATACTGTAGGCAGCTGTAACACAGTGGCAAGTATTTGTGTATCTAAACAAATATAGAAAAGGTAATGATGTTACTGTGGCTATGATATCACCAGGCAATAGAAGTTTTTCAGCTCCATTATAACCTTTGGGATTACCACGTTCATTGTTAACTGAAATGTCATTTTGTGGTGCATGACTGTATAGTGTGAACCGCATATGTAATTTAAAATTTAAAAAGTAAAAGGTGAAATTAATTTAGTATATTTCTTTTAGCCCATTATTGTCATTTCAACATATAATTAATATAAAAATAATTAATGGGAGGCCGAGGCAGGCGGATCACGAGGTCAGGAGATTGAGACCATCCTGACTAACACGGTGAAACCCCGTCTCTACCAAAAATACAAAAAAATTAGCCGGGCATGGTCGCGGGCGCCTGTGGTCCCAGCTACTCGGGAGGCTGAGGCAGGAGAATGGCGTGAACCCGGGAGGCGGAACTTGCAGTGAGCCAAGATCGCGCCACTGCACTCCAGCCTGGGCGACAGAGTGAGACTCTGTCTCAAAAAAAAGATAATTAATGAAATATTTTGCATTCTTTGTTTTGTACTAAGGCTTTGAAATTCAACCTCGGCTTTACACTTACAGCCGATCTCAGTTGATTCCACCTCGTTTCAAATGCTCAGAAGCCCCCTGTGGCTTGTGGCTGCCACATTGGATAGTGTGGGATCACCCAGACTCTGTCTCAGGGTGCACAGTCTGAGTGGGGACATCTGCTCATATTTTGCTTCCCATTGGTCACACAAACCTCTCAGCCATGTTTCAGTGTCTCCTGACTCATCCCATGGCCTCCCAGATTGCCTCTTTGAATAATTTCCCATCTCTGTGGTACCTCCGTGACCTCACACATGTGCTTGTTTTGGTCTGGGAGCCCTTTCAAGTGGGGTTGGAGCTGAGTCCTACAGAGCAGAGAGAGTTTGGAAAGGTCAGGAGTCAGGGTGCTGGTGAAAACCAGGACAGGTAAGTGGCACATCAGCTGCTTCCAGTGGCTTAGTAGGTGAGTGAGTAATTTCTGATGATGGTCATCGTAGCTGCAATTCACTGGGCACCTCCACAAATACCTGGCCTTTAATTCTCACAATAGCCCTGTAATGGAGATACATTTCCCCTTTTAATTGTAATCAGTGTTTTCATTGGTAGGGAGACTAAGGTGCAGAGAGGTGAGAGGCACCTTAGTTGATGGATGGTGAAGCCAAGACTGGGGCCAGGGCTGTCTGACTCCCAGGGCCAGGCCCTTCCCCTCTGTCAAGGTGCTTAGTCTCAGGCCGATGAATGGAAATTCTTCCATGGACCCGGAGCCCTGGAGGCTTGTGAGCAGGCCTGTGTCAGAGCAGAAGCACTGCGTTGGGGGACAAGTCTGGCATGAAATGACACAGCAGAAAATCCTGAGAATTCATGCTGTTTATGAAAATCCTCTTGATTATTGTCTAGGCTGTGCTGGTTCCATGCTCCAGGGGCTCAACATCCTTTCAGGGAGACCACAGCTCACCTGTGGGAGCAGCTGGAGCCGGAGCTCAGGCAGCCACACTTATGGACAGTCCCGAGGAGGCTACTATCTCCTATATTTTGCATAATGATGGAGAGGGTGCTGACAACACCTTCACTGACTCTTGGCTTTCAACTTGCGTTGGCTGTCAACTTGCGTTTATAATTTAGGAGGATTCCAGGTTGTCCCTAGGGTAACCTCACTGTCACTCCCTGGACTTTCCATCTGCTTTCTTCCATGGGGCCCACAGAGGTGGCCTAAGAACTCAGGTTACTGGGAAATACTCCCAATTCCAAGCTGTCCGTGGGAGGGGTCCTGCTGGTGAGCACCTGGAGGAGAGACGTGTTTAGGGAGAGAAAAGGTTGAGCATGGCATACAAGCCCTTCTTTACATTTCTCCATTTGTCACTCCACTAGAAGTTCTCTGGGGGCCTCGCCAGCATGCATGGCATAGGCAGCACCGTTTTGTGCTCATCACCCTTGAGCCCTCCGAGTACCCAGTGGTCTTGGCCACCCTGCTTACTGGAAATGCCCCCTTTTCCTGCTTGGAGGGCATTTGCCTTCTGGGTCTCATGCCATGTCCTTAGCCCTCATTCTGTCTTGCTCTGTATCTCTTCCTGGGCCAACATTCACATTTGTGGCTTCAGTTGTTCCTCTGTGGTGAGGACACAGCAAATTACATCTGTAGTCCTGATCATGTTTGGACTCAAGTTTTCAAGCATCTGATTAAGATGTGCTTTAATACCTCACAGTAAACAAGCCCCCATCAGAACTCGTAGCTTCCATCCTAAGCTTGTTCCTCCTTCTCTGTTTCGTGGATTCACTATTGCCACCTTCAGGCTTCCAGAGGTCCTGTTTGGAAGCCTCCAAGCCATCCTAGCCTCCCTTTTCTTCCCCTCTCTCCATCCAGACAGTCAGCTTGTTCACTCTTCCCCTGAGTGCCTCTTCTCCTTCATCCTCATTCACTCCTGATGCCCCTCCCCTTGGAGCCTGCCTGTCATCCTCTCTTGCCTGGTCTGTTGCCACACCTCCCACTCTTGTCCACTGTTCTCTCCAGACCACTTCTGTTGGCCCAGCCCTGTTTATGTCCTTCCACAACTTTAGGGTATCCCTCCTATCTGAGGGTACAGACCCATCATGCTGGCCTTTGAGACGTGAGATCACCTGGACATGACTTGTTCTAGACGTCTCTTCTGACATTCCCTTCCTCATCTGCTGCCACATAGCACCATTAATCACAAGCCACACATTTCTTGCTTCTGTGCTTTTGCTCTTGTGGTTCTCTTTTGGCAATGGGTGACAGAAACTCACCTTGAGCTACCTTAGTTAAAGTGCCAGGGCCATCTGAGCCTCTGGCTTTGTCAAACCAGGGACCCAAATGTGGCCCTTTGTTTTCTTCACCTGTAGATCGGTCAATTCCCTCACCCCAGCTTCCCCCATTGGACAAGAAACATGGCAGCTCTCACCTCCTGAGTCTCCTACCAGCTTTGTCTAGAGCGCCATCCCTCTTCTCTTAGTTACAGTTTGAAAAAAATCAGGGAAGGGCTCTGACAGGCTGGGCCTGAATCATGTGACCTCTTCTGGACTAATGAGCTGTGGCCAGTGCCTGGGGCACAGGGTGCATGGATGGCAGCACCCACTAGAGCTATAAAATCGGATTGGAGCAGGATAAGGAGTCATTCCCCCAAACAAGAGCAGGGAGCTGTTTCCAGAGGAAGACGGATGTGCTGGGCAGGCAACAAGCTGTGCATGCATCTGCTGCCCCTCTCTTCTCCCCTTGCTCACACCTTCGCTAGAGGCCAGGCATTCTTTTGGGCTCTCCTACCATTTACATGTGGATGGAGTTCCGAATTTTGCAGCTTGTTGCAGCTGTCTCTATATCTGACTCCTTCTCCAGCCTGCTTGCTGGACAGTGCTCAGCTAGGAAGGTCAGATTGCGGACTGGAACTTGCCTTGGATGTCTGGGGGCTTTGTCCTCCCCATCAGCAGGCATGGTCACCCTTGATGCCTTGCACCCATCCTGTTGCTCAGAGGTTTCCCTGCCTTCCCATCCTCCTCAGGCCTGTATCCTGCCAGTGGATTTTCAGAGCTTCCTGGAGGCAAGCACACAGCCCAGCCCCGGCTAGAGATTCATGACTTTCCTCCCTCCTGCCCTCCCTATTCCCCTACACCCACTAGAGAGTCCTGAGGACTATTAACCTGTCCCCTCGTTTAGGGCTGATGTATATATTCAGTGAAAAAGGCAGGGGAGTGGAGACGAGAATGGGGGACTTCCTCCAGAGCTTCTGACACCTCTGATTGCCCCAGGAACCTGTGCTAACCCACAGACAATTGGATCTCCCCTTTATCCTGGTGACAGGGCTTGTGATGAATTGCTCATATTTTATTCCTCAGGAAGTTTTATTGCTATTCCAGAATGGTAGGATTAACTCTAAATGCTTTCTGGGGTGTTCATTTCCCTCTAAACTGGAAATCACTATAATTGCAATGAAAACTCTGACTCAGAATCTGAATCTGCCCTTTCAGTTGCTCTTGCAAAGTTGGTTAAAAAAATAAAAAGGCAGATGTGGGTTAGGAAAGAGCCCATTTGGTGTCCCGGGCAGAGGCTGTGTGGTTGACATCTTGAAGAATGGCAGGTTGGCCGTCGACAGCCAAAGTGATCACCAGCTATTGGCTGCAGGCAGGGGCTGCACAGACCCAGGGCCACCAGAGGGCCTTCCCCAGCCTTCAGCAAGCCATACAGCCCGTGGTGCTGGCCTGGGCAGAGGGCATCTGGCAGAGTGTGGATTTATTTTTGATTATTGGATTTTCTGGAAGGTGAAGGGGGCTAACAATAATGAGGGGCTTCTGTATAGGAGGCATGTTCCTAAATATCAGAAAGACTCAGGGCAGGGGCTTTGGAGTCAGACTGACTTGGACTTGAATTGTGGCATTGGCACTCACCTCTCCAAGCCTCAATTTTGCTATCTGTAAAGTGGGGATAATAATAGACCTGCCCTCCTGGGGTTGCTGGGGTGAGTAAATGAGACGGGGAGTGTGTGGGGCTTGGTACAGTGCTGGGTGCACTGCTGGGGTGTCCCCTGGTTTTGCTCCCGGAGAGGTGGCAGCGAGCAGAGGTGTGTGCTCTTGCCCAGCTTACGATGGCAGCTCTGTCAATTCCTCCTCTTCAGTTTGCACAGCCTAGCTCAGGTGTGGGCTTCTGTTGGACTCGAGCTTCTACTCCTGGACAAGAAATTGCATTTCTGTAATTAATTTGAACATTTTTTCCATGTGACTTTTCTGAGCTGCTATTGCATGCCAGGCTCCATGCTTGGACCTGGGAGTATGCAGTGGTGAGAAAGATTCCCAGGATCTGCAGCCACTCTCTAGAGACACCTGCTCCTGCTGGGATGGACCCCCTTGGATATGGAGGTTGGTCAAGAAGCCGGGGGCCCTTCTGGAGACCAGGGTGTGGACTGTGGCCCTTGGGGCTCGACATTCTGTTGTATCACTCTCCTGGAGGTGGCAGAGCTGGACAGAATCAGACCTCCTGGCTCAGCCCTTGTTACTAGAGTGCCTGAAGCTCTCTAGGCCCCAGTTTTTTCCTCTGTAAAGAAGGAATGAAAATCCTGCTCCCGTAGGCTTGCTGTGAGGAGGAAATGAAGGGGAGAGAGTGGGACAGTGCAAAGAAGGGACTTCATAAGCCATAAATGGGGGCTCACTTCCCTACTCCCCTCACCCAGCGTTCCTGGCAGGAAGGACATCTACCCTTGGGAGGAGGAGAGGGGACAGTGTTGGTCTGGGCAGGTATTTCCCATGGTTGCAGCCCCACCCCACTGGCATTGATCATACTATTAGTCCAGTTGTCTGCACCTTCCTCGGAGCCCAAGAGCAACTCTGGCATTTCCAGGGCCTTCCGGCGGCCTGTGATGGATGGCTCCACCGTCCAGTCCATGCTTGTGCCAGGCCTGGGCGGGTGCGGCATGTGATGGATCAGCCCGAGGATGGTATTTTGGAAGGAAAATTCAAATTATATTTTAAGATAATACCCTGCCTCCCCGCCCCCACCCTACATCCCATTTGTAATCTGGCCCAAGAGGTTCTGGCAGGAGGTAACGAGTTTGTGATGGATGGGTAGGCAGCCCCATTAGGCCTGCAGATCCTGCCTCTTAATTAATATTGATGTGGCTTTAATTTGGGGGCTTAGCAGGCATGTTTTGGTGGCGGGGCTCTGTGGGGTTGCAGAGGCCCTGGGCCATCTGTGTTGCTCCTAGCATGGCTTGGCTGCCTGGGCTGGGGTATCCAGCCATGTCCCCATGCTGTTCTTGCAGAGCTCCTGGCCTCTGCTGACCACCAGCCCCATCTTGAGCAGCATGATGTCCCTAGACATGGAATTGGGAAGCAATGACACCCATTATTTCTGGTGTTTCAGATAGGATAGACATTAATAGCCTCAAGAGCGCAGATAATAGTAAAATGCAGCAAAATAATTAGGGAATGATGAACTTTGTGTATTTATCAATTTTGTTTGTTAATATAATTTAATTATAGGTTTATATAATTTAATCCATACTGGCTATGTTTAATAACTGGCTTGCAAATTCCTGAAAATTTAACAATAGGCTCTGGCAAGGTGGTAGGATGGGCTCCAGCCCACTGAGTGTGTGTGAGTGCAGGTGAGTGTGAGCACTGGTGAGCTGGAATACCTGAGCGTGTGTGTGTGAGTGAATGTGTCAGTCAGGGAGGCCTTCCTTTGCACCCAGACTCAGGCATGGGGTGGAGTCCCAGATGCCACCTGACCTGGCACCCACTGGGCTCAGGCACGGGAAGCTCTGTGGCACCCTGGAGCTCAGGCAGAGTGAGGTTCCTCTGCAGAAGTGGCGTCAGGAGGCCCACAATGAGGGGTGGTGGCATCTGTGGGCCCCTTGCTGTGGCTTCACTTCTGGCTCTGGTTGCCACTGTCCCTTCAAAGACAGGTTCCCGAGGAAACAAATTAAACCCGAGTAAATATCAGAAAGTAATTATGTAAATTAAATACATAATTTAAAGAACACTTGTCATGAGGTCAGTGGAAAGCTGTGAAGGCAGAAGCCTCCCTGTCAGGGCTGGCAAGGCACAGGCGGGTGAGGGGTGGCAGCCGCACTGGAGAGGATGGGCTGCTGTTCCGAGCAGCCTGCCCCTCACACGGGCTCTGTCCCAGGTGCTTCATGTCTGTCCTTCTGTGTGCCCCTCACAGTGGTCCTACCCCTAGACAGCCTCACTCTGCCCAATTTAGAGGCAGTGGCTGAGGCTCAGGGAGCTTAAGAGCCGTGCCCAGGCCAGAGATGGCTACCCATGAGTCCACCTCCCCTGTGGCAGGCCCCAAAGCCCAGGCTCTTTCTCCCACAGGGGAGCCACAGCCCTGCCCTGAAGTGGCCTCCCTGAGAGCTAGGCAGCATCTGCTCCAGCTATGGGGGCTCTCGGGCGCAGAGCGGGGCTTCAGGGCTCACTCCAGTGCAGTGTCTCCGTTGCTGTCATCCTTTCTCTGCCTCAGAGACAGGAGGCAGTGGGCAGGAGTGGTGGGCTTGGCATGGCTGGGCCCTAGGCCCTGGTCTCAGGGTTTTCTGGCATCCCTCCTGCCCAGAAATGCCACTGTGGCTATCCTTCTGTGGGCACACAAGGTCCCACACCCCTCATACCCAAACAGAACCACACACAGGTCTACAGCTGGGCTGTTGGGTTCCATGAGGCCTTTGATCCTGACATCCTCTTGGTCTGGAATACTCCCTCTCTTGTCCATGCAGAAAATGCCTCTTCATCCTGCAAGTTCCAACTCCCCACTCTCTGAAGGCTTTCTTGAGACCTTCCCTCTGTCTGGAGAAACAAACCCCTTCTCGTGCACTCCCTGCTGTTCCTAGTACATCCTCAAACACTGTTTTCTTGTCTGTTTCCTGTTGGGCTCCTTTGAAGTTGGGGACAGGGTCTGATCCTTCTCTCTAGTATCCACGATAGGGCATGGCCTGGTTGGGCACCAGACATAGGCTTGGAGCAAGCCTGAGTGGGTAAGATAGTGTGGGGCAGTCCCATCAGCCTGTCACTGAGAGGGTGGGAGTTGTGGGCAGTGACCAGGGCAGCCCCACACACATTCCCCACCAGCGCAGATCCCGAGACACTGCTGGTCCCAGGGATCAGGAGGTCCCATTGGGTGGGTGGGTGACAGCCCCTGGGTGGCCCTCAGACAGGTCTGCAGAGGGGGAACCCGTCCCAGGTTGCTTCCAGGTTAACTCGGTTGGGGCTGCTCTTTCTAGTAGAATGGGCTTTACTCAGAGTGATAATTTACAGAACTAATGAAGATGCTACATTTCACTGTGTAATGTCACTTATTAATACTGATTGCAAATTAACAGCTGGTAATGGCATGCATCATGTTTTCCTCTTGCCATTCTTAAATGCCAAACTCCAGCATTTGACCAGCCTGCTGCACGGTCTCTCTGGAGCTCTATATGCCTGCGGTGGCCACTAGATAGGTCTGGGGTGGGGATGGGAGTTGCTGTGTCTTGGTGCACAGAGAGCAGAGCCCTTTATAGTAGACAGATCCAGGGTTGGATCCCAGCTCTGTTCTGAGCCAGTGACTTATCTGTGAAATGGGCATACTCTGGTAATTCCCTACAGGTGCTCAGGCTCAGAGGAAATGTGTGTGCCAGGCACCTACCTCAGCATTGCAAACCAGACCATTGCAAACATGATGGGGTTTGCAAACCTGCCTCCTTCTCATCCCTTCCCACGTGCCTTCAGCTTGTTGGTGAATAAGACTAAAGAGCTCTGGCTCTGGAGTCAGAGGCCCTGGATTTGAGCACCTTCCTAGGCTAGATAAACTCGGGCAAGACATGAGGGTGTCATGGGGACTAAATGAGACAGTATATGCAAATTACTTCACATAGTGCCTGGCTAGAAGTCAGACCTGGATAAGACGTGCTGTGTGCTAGTCAGCTTGGGCTGCATTAACAAGATACCTCATGCTGGGGGGCTTAAACAACACACATTTAATTTTCACAGTCTGGAGGCTGAGAAGTCCAAGATCAAGGTGCTGGATCTGACGTCTTGTGAGGGCACTTTTCCTGGTTTGCAGTTGGCCATCTTCTCTCAGTGTGCGCACCTGGTGGAGAGAAAAAGATCTCGAGTCTCTTATTTTCTTATAAGGCCACTAATTCCAACCAGGAGGTCTCTGCCCTTATAACCCTAATTACCTCCCAAAACCCCCTCTTCTAATACCATCACCTTGAGGGTTAGGATTTTAACACATGAATTTTGGGGGAGCACAAACATTCAGTCTGTAGCATGCTGTTACGATTACGCCATCATTGGTTTGGCCATACCATGGAGAGATGTCATCTGGCTGTGGCATTAACAAAATCCAAAGGCATCAGCTTTGGAGCCCCTGGAAATTCACATGTGGCTGTTTGGACAAACACTTGGAAATTACTTCTCTAGATTTGCTTCTCTACTTAAATGAAAGAGGAATCCAGAAAAATACCCAGAGCTCCCTCAAAGCAATGATGTGGGTCATTCCTCTGTGTTCTGAAGGAGGAGCTCAACTTCTCTGGCCTTCAGTTTTTTCATCTTTCATGGTATGGTTAGCCTTCCTCACAAGCCGCAGAGAGGGAGAAAAGAAATGAAGCATTGAAGAATCCAGCAGCTCAGGGAGAGGGCACCAAGCACCTGAGGGCTGGAGGCGAGCCTCTCACTGGGCGACTTCAGCTGGGGTCTTGCTCCTGCCCCGAGAGGCCTGTTGATGCAGGAAAGAAGCTTGTGGGGAAATGCCATGCCAATTCCTCATCCTGAAAAAATGGCATCAAAGCAGCAGGACTCTGAAAACCATCCCTGCAAATCATAGAGGAAGAACTGCTAAAATCATTACCAAATACCTCGTAAGTGAAAGGTGACAGGAAAATCAAACTTTATTTGTGAAAATTCTAAAAATCATTAGCATATTATGGATTCCTTAAAAATATGATCTCACTTAGCTGATGGAAGGGAATTGCAAATCAAAGGGACTATTTATTGCAGTGGGAACAAGGGACCTGCCAGATTAAAAGAAAATATTGAAGGAGCCAGAGATTTGAAACATGAAAGACAGTAGCAGATAAACACCGCGGAATTTTATCCAAATACTGGAACCCAACTTGGAACAGAAGTTGGTGAAGAATTATTTTATAAACCCATTTTCATCATAACATGTGTAAAATGCAAATCTTGATAATTATGTAAATTAGTTACTTGGCATAATTTACTTAATTCAAAGCACTTAATGCAGCGTGGTGTGTTTTTTCGAAAGTGCCAGAGTAGACGTTTATTTTAAATTGTTTTTAATCTCGATCTTCCAGCCTGATTATTTAAAATGTTTTTCCCTGTGTTTGTTTTTTAAATGGAAAGGAGTAGAGCTTGGTGGGAAATTGGAATGTGGTGGGATTAGCCGAAGCCTTCCATTGTTAGTGCCCCAGGCAGGGGGTGTGGGTACGGCTCATTCAAGGTCCCTGTGTCTGAAACAGCACATGTGTGAACACACCATGTGAACGTGCCCATACGGAGTCATCCAGACCACCCATTCCCTTTCCTGAATCTGCTCTTATGTGGTTCTGTGGCTGGTTCTGAAACCTGTCTGAGCAGAAGGCTCCTGGGTACTATCAGCCCTTATTAGAGGCAGAAACTTGTTTCCCCTCTCAAAGAGTTTTCAATGACAGACCTTCCCCTTCAAGCCACTTTACAACTTTGGAATTTCCATTATCACAGAAGGGAGAGATGACCTTTTTAGTTTTCTATTGTGTCACCCGATTGTCAGGATGGCACCTCCCTTCTTGATGAGACTCTAGAACAAGAGAGATGATTTGCTCATTTGAGAGCCCTTTTGGGGGCGTTCCCTGTGCTGTTGAGAAGGTTGGAAGGGAGCTGACAGCCGCTGAACATCTATTTTGCACTGTGCCAGCTGTGATGTATGCCCCTTGCTGAAGGATCTAAGGTCTCCTAGGAGGAAGGTGGGGTTGGCTCTGCTTTGCAGGTGAGGAAATAGGCTCAGAGAGGTGGTTGTCCAGGATCACCCAGATAGTGAACCCAGGCTTGTGCTTATTCTGTGCACCCCTGGGGGAGCAGGGCAGTGGGGCTGCTTCTCCGTGCCTTTTCCTAATCTCTGAATCTCAGACTACCATGGAAGATAGTGTTTTCCTTTTTTTTTGACAAGTAAAAGTTGTATTTTTTTTGTGGTATACAACATGTTTTGATGTATGCATACATTGTGGAATGGCTAACTCAAGGTAATCAACATATGCATTATCTCACATGCTTATTTTTTTGTGGTGAGAACACTTAAAATCGAGTCTGTTATGAATTTTCGAATATGCAATATATTGTTATTAACTATAGTCAACATTTATACAATAGATCACTTGAACTTATCCTCTTGTCTAATTGAAATTTCACCTCCTTTGACCAGCATCTCCCCAGTCCCCTAACTCCCCAGCTTCTGGTAACCACCTTTCTATTCTCTATTTCTGAGTTCAACTTTTTCACATTCCACTTATAAGTGAGATCATGCAGTATTTGTCTTTCTAGGTTTGGTTTGTTTCACTTAGCATAATCTGCTCCAGGCTCATGCACATTGTTGCAAATGACAGGATTTCCTTCTTTTCAAAGGCTGAAGAGCATTCCATTGTGCATGTACACCACGTTTTCTTCATCCATCCATCGGCTGGTGACCACCAAGGCTGATTCCCTGTCTTGGCTATTGCAGAGTGCTGCAAGGAGTATGGGAGTTTTAATACAGGCTTTATTATGATTTAGGTATGGCAAGGCCAATAGATTAGGAGATGACTACCATTGAAAAGACTGTTTGTTATACTTGCAGATTCCCAGAGAAGAGGGCCTGCCTTGCCAGCAGGTCCCACAGGGAGGCAGAAAGGAGGAGGGGGGAAACTATGGTCAAGAGTCGGCTGTGCTTTCCATGGGGAGGAACAGGTGAGGCAGAGTAGGTGGGCTTAGGATTGGCTGGTGGGAGTAAGCCCAGTGGGCTCTGGGGCATAGAGGTGTCCTTGGTTGTCTGGTACCTGGCCCTGGGGTGATTAGGACAAGTATATAGTGGCCCTGAGTGTGAGATCCCAATATAAAATGTGGTCGGGGTTCTGGGCTCTGGATTGGTTGGTTTGCAGATAAAAGGCATGCTCTGGAGCAAGTTGTTTACTAACGCAGGGAGAGACAGGCCCTCCAGGGTAAGTGAGGCCCCAGATGTCAAAGCATCAAAAGGTAAAAGATATAAGGAAGGTGTCCAGTTTTAGTCTTCTGCATATGGCTAGCCAGTTACCCCAGCTCCACTTAGTGAATAGGGAGTCCTTTCCCCATTGCTTGTTTTTGTCAGCTTTGTTGAAGATCAGATGGTTGTATGTGTGCAGCTTTATTTCTGGGCCCTCTTTTCTGTTCCATTGGTTTATGTGTCTATTTTTGTACCAGCACCATGCTGTTTTGGTTACTGTAGCGTTATAGTATAGTTTGAAGTCAAGTATGTGATGCCTCCAGCGTTGTTCTTTTTGCTTAGGATTGTCTTGGTTCTTCTGGCTTTTTTGGTTCCATATGGTACACTCTGAAACTAAAACAAAAGTTAAATAAAATAAATAAGTACGTATCTTTGGAAAAATGATATGGTTAATACAGAGGGTAGAGCTTTTTGTGGTGAGGGATGGGATGTCACTCTGGAGGACCTCAGGGCCAGGCCTGCCATGACTGTTGTCTGGGGAGCTGGGATTGTGATGGGGACAGGAGAGCCCTCCCTCCCAGACAAGACGCTCTCAGATGAGACCTTGGGCAAGTAGACTTAGAGCAGTAGCCCTTTGCTGCTGAATCTGGCAGGACACCATCATTCTACTCACCTGAATGCAGCCCTTGCCTAGGCTCTGGGGGACCTTGTCACCCTATGATGGGGGAGGCCTGCTTCCAATTTTACCAACAGCTGCTGGATGTGCCATACCTTTGCTGAATTGCCCCTGGGCCTGCTTGGTGCCCCGCTGACTTCCACAGAGAGTCGCCTGCATGGATCGATTGCAGGGACTTCATTTATTTATGAAGTACTGTCTGCAAATGGAACACATTCTGGCAATAGGAGGTACTCAGTAAGTGGCAGAAGGGAGCCACTCCTTTCTTCAGGGTCAGCGTCAGTCTTACCCTCAGGACCCAGAGCTCCTCCAGGACAGGGCTGTGAAGTTTTAAAATTCTGCTGCTCTGGAACCAAGCATAGGGCCTGGCCCAGGACAGTGTTCAGGAAATATATGAGGAAGGAAGGAAGAGGGCGGGAAGGGAGGAAGAGGAAATGCATAGCTGAGAAGCTGAGGTGTGAGGTGTGGGGAGGTGAGGCTCCAGATGGATTCCAGCGGGCAGAGGGCAAGGGTATCCCTGTGATTGGAGCCACAGCAGGTAGTTCTTTGGGTTCCCTTGGAAATGGCAGACGCTGCTGCCATCATACCTGCTCCGCTTGCAACAACTATGGTGACATTAGGAGCTGGTGGTGGGAGGGGAATGTGCAATGAAAGAGAGGAGGCTGGGTAGGGCTCTTAGAAATGAATTTGAATTATGGGTAAAGTACATCTGGGAAGAAATTCAAAGCATATCTTTGGGGGCTCAGGTAAGAAAGAAGTAAAAATAAAAAGTCTATGGAATCAAAGTTGTGTCTCAGCCTTTGGAAAATTTGCCAATAATCCAAAAACACTTTTAACTGTGAATTTCTTCTGCGTGTGAGGTGGCAGCCTTCATGTATATATATGTACATTACAGATGGTAAAATATTCTCTATAAGTACTCTCAGTGCCTGGGCCTTTCTCAGAAATTGAAAATAGTAGGGGAAGCAATTTGAAATGTCTTCTTTCGCTTCAATTACTTTTCAGAAAGAAAGTATTAAAAATACCCAGTGACTATCTGATTTTTTTCAGAGGGAGTGGAGGGATAGTCACAATTATAACCTTAGATTTTGAAAAAATTATTTCCCCAACTTCAGTTCCTTACCAAGTAGGGCTTTGCCTCCACCGGCTACGTGGTCATCGTGTGGCTGCTGAAGTCACGCCGGGCTTCAGGCAGGTTCCCGCTGTGGTTCAACTTGATTCCATAAACTTTTACTGTTTCTGACTCTGTTCTAGGCACCAAGCCTTGGGGTTTGATAAAGAACACAAATGAGGAAGGCCTAGCTCCTGTTACCCATATATTATGATTTAACGTTATTAATATTGTTTAATATTATTAAATTTGAAGGGGGCATGAATTTCAACTTGAGGACCTGAGATGGCCTCAGAGGGGAAGTTTGAACTGGGTCTTGATGGAGGAGTAGGGCTCTGTAAATTTCAAATTGGGAGCATCCCAGTGGAGGGAGGGTGTGTGTGTGTGTGTGTGTGTGTATGTGGAGGATGTCCAGGAGTGGGCAAAGAGCTTCTTTTTCTGGATCCCAAGGTACATGGTTTGAGGAGGACGTGGTGGAGGCAGGTGATGAATGTAAAAACAAATAGAAAATGCTGTTAGGCATGGTGAAACCCCTTCTCTACAAAAAATACAAAAATGAGCCGGGCGTGGTGGCGGGTGTCTGTAATCCCAGCTACTCCGGAGGCTGAGGCAAGAGAATCACTTGAACCTGGGAGGTGGAGGTTTCAGTGAGCTGAGATCATGCCACTGCATTCCAGCCTGGGCAACAAGAGCGAGACTCTGTCTCAAAAAAATGCTGTTAGGACCACAGTCTCTTAGGTACCCAAAATGTCTGGAGTCTATTTTGTGCACAATAATGAAGTCTCTAGAAGACTTTTTGTTTGCAACTTGATTGACTGATGCTTTTGAGGATATTAATTTCTTGGCAACTGTTACATAAATTGTGTTATTTGTTGAAGGTTTAGAGGAGGGCTGTATTGTGAGCAGATATGATCTCAAGAGAGAACATTCTTGTGGAATGTATTAGAGGGCAGATGCTAGGGTCAGGGGACCCTGCAGGACACTGTTGCATGAGTCCTAGGGAGGAGGTGATAGTGCTGAACCTGAGAAGGGAGAGTGGAACTCGGGAAATGTTTAGGAGGAGAAGTTGAAAGGCCTCCGCCAGTCCAGGATGTGGGCTTCCTTAGCACATGTGTGGTGATGCTGTTCTCAGACACGTGAGAACAGACATGGCAGGTGGTACCAGGGGGAAACCTAGGACTAGTGGGAGTGTGACCGGGAGCGTGTGAAGGAGGAGAAGGGGAGCGGGTGGGAGCAGAGGGGCATATGATTGTGCCTGCAAGCCCAGGGGGAGAGGGCATTAGGCAGGACTGCAGGCTGGATGCTGGAGAACCGTGGAAGACAAAGACCGAGGAGGGCCCTTGTTTGTTGATGACTGGCAGGAGCTTTAGAGCAGAGTCATGGAGGCTGATGCAGGGGGAGAGGGCGAGCGGCCGGGATGTACCGGGCAAGCAGGGCCAGGTGTCAGAAAGCTGGTGTGGAGGCGGGGAGGGACCTGTGTCCTCTCCTCCCCATGGATGGTCCCTGGTGCCCACTGACCCTCAGCTTCC
Organism: Homo sapiens; assembly: GCF_000001405.40. NCBI lineage: Eukaryota > Metazoa > Chordata > Mammalia > Primates > Hominidae > Homo > Homo sapiens. The sequence continues at coordinate 86,144,416 of NC_000010.11, read as the reverse complement.
TTTCCTGGCAGTTCCACAGTCCAGCCTTGTCATGGGGCGAGCAAGGATCTTCTTCATTTGATGTCAAAGATGCATCATTCTGGAACTTTCTGTGTGCTGTTCCCCTCTCCTGGAATGTTCTTCCTAGGGGTTTCCAGAGCTGCTTCTCCTCACCGAGGCAGGGTCTTTCCTATCCCACCCTGAAGTCCCCTCCCATCCAGCATTTATTTTCTTTGGGGCTCTTCTCACTGTTGGAAATTATCTCCTTGTCTATCCTGCTATTGATTTGTTCTGGCTTGTTCTCAGCCTCTGAAATGTTAAGTTCTGCGATAAAGAACCCCAGGGGTTCATTCAGTTTTGTTTTCCTGTACCCGGGGAGAGACAGACACAGAGTGCTCAGTGAGTACTAGGGGAAGAAGGAACGGGTGGGTGCTGGCAGGACTCCGGCAGGCTTGGGTATTGAGAAGGCCTGGTGATGGGGCCCCTGAGAGCCCAAAGAGGGTGCAGTGAGGCTGGCAGGCAGAGAGGCGATGTCAAGGCCTGACCTGGGCACCGTCACCTTGCATTCCTTGCAGGAGTGGACTGGCCCATGCACCCCGAGCTGCCTCCTTTCTCTAAGGCGCAGGACTCCTCTCTAGGGAGCTCCTCCCTGTCCCTGCAGTGTCCAGTGGCCTTTTCCAGAGTCCATGCCTCTCCTGGGTGCCTGGAGACCTGGTGGCTCTTGCCTTTCTCATGCCCTTTCTGGATCAGGTTGATGCGAGGCCTGACAAGGCCTCAGTCAGCAAACTTCCCCAGGGGCAGGTGGAGGTGCGTGTGGTTGGTGGAAGCTGCATTGGTGATGGTGGATGGGGCTGGCCAGTGTGTACAGGGAGCTTGCTGGGGAGGCCCTGGGACAAAGTCCAGAGCTCTGTGGGAGCCAAGGGATTCTGGGGAAGGGGCACTAACTGTGTGGCCCAGTGGGGGAAGTCCCAGCTCTGTTCATTGTCTACCTGCTTGGGGAGTTCTCTCTGTGTGAGCAGCAGCAGCAGACAGTCAGGTTTTTTGGGGGGATGGGGTAGGGTGGGATTACAAATTTGGTTTCTTGAAGGGAGAAAAGGACTTTGCGGGAGAAGTGGGGTTCCGTGGCCCCATTCCTGGAGAGTGGCAGGAGGGCTGCAGCATGGGCTTGGGCTCCTCACTGTTACTCTGCCTCCAGCCCCACCCCAAGTGCAGCTGGACAGAAGCTTCAGGGAAAGGAGGCTGAGAGTTGACCTTGTCAGCCAACTGGAGCAGGCAGTGGTAGCCAGGGGCTGCTGTCCCTCAGGAACACTGGCTTCAGCCAGCATCACTGATTTCAGGTGTGAGGAGCCACCGCTGGCAAGGAGCATAAACTGTCTCTGATGGATCGTAAACCCTCAGTCCCATTAGGGGCTGCTGGAATAGAAGCCAGAAATGCAGCAGTGGGAGGTGCAGAGGAGCTCTGAGGGCTTATGTCCTCCCGTTTGCATGTTCTTGTGTACTCATGGGTGCCAAGACAGTTGCTACTTGCCCATGGCATCTCCTATTCCCTGAAGAAATAAAACCGTCCTGTGGGTTGAGATGGTTTTAGGTAGAGGGAGCTCAGGGAAGGGACTGAAGGAGACTTTTCCCCCAGACTGAGAGGACTGGCCATGCTGGCATGAGGCATAAGGTCCCTGGGGCCACATGGGTGTCCCTACCATACTCATGGACTCATGCAAGCCCTCATGGTACACATGCTTATGTAAACGTGCAGAAAGGTGTGCTCTGTAGACATGGCCAGTCTCTGCCATTTTAAAGACTTGCAGTGGCCTTAGAAGGTGCTGCAAGGAGCAGAAGCTTGTAAATGACAGGTCTCAGGGTCCCACCTTTATGCCCATCCTGCAGCTGTGCTCGGATCTGTGTCACAGTCAAGGCCATGGGCAGTGAGGACCACTGGTGTTCTAAGGAAGAGGCAGGGCTGCAGAAGCCACCTGTGCACATGTGGCCTTGCCCTGGGGCTGACTAGCACTCAGCCCCGTGTGGACAGTGCCACAGGTAAGCTGTGACAGGGCAGTTTTTTAAGGTAAAGGCATTGCTTTTTCACTTAACGTTTTCATAAGCTATACCAGATACAATGCATCCAATGACCTCGATCTATCACTTTGTTATTGCTGGGAAACAAACCGTCCCAAAACTTAGAACAGCAGTCATTTATTATTTTTTATGAGTCTATAGGTCAACTGGGCAGTTCTGCTCTGGGCTCGCTTGTGCATCTGAGTTCAGCTGGCTTGCAGCTGGGGATGGCTGCCTGGGTGCCTGCCTGACTCTCCCCTATGTGTCCCCACATTCCTCCAGCAGCTGGCCTGGAGATGTTCTCATGGTGGTGGCATGGTTCAAGAGTGGAAATGGAAATGCACAAACACTTTTTCAACCTCTGTTTGCGTCAAGTTTACTACTGTCCCATAGTCAAAGCGGGTCACTTGGCTGAGGCCGGAGCTGGAGCTGGAGCTAGAGGAGTCCTCACAGTGACAGAACAAAAAGCCTGGGATTAGGAGCCTTTGCCAGGGGCCTGAAGGCAGCCAGTCTCCCATATTTAGGAATATCGTTTACACCACACTGGTTAAAGGCGGTTTCTCCAGGCAGTACCAGGCAATAGGACTTTCTGTGATGATCCATCTCATATGAGCTATATCTGTGCTGTCCAACATGGTAGCCACCAGCCAGATGTGGCTGTTGAGTACTTGAAATGTAGCTAGTGCACCTGAGGAGCTGAGCATGTAATTGTGTTTCTCTTCAATTAATTGACGTTTTAATGGCCATATATGGCTAGAGGTTGTGTTATGTACAGCCTAGATCCAGGGAGAAACCCTCATTGGCACCCGTGGAAGGCTGTTATGTGCCCAGCACAGCTGCCCACTGCTGGTTTTGGTGTGGGTGGCCGCTGGGTGCTGAGATGTCCTCCAGCTGATGATGGACAGATTTGCATTGTGCTGTGCTCCAGAGAGGGCAGGACTGGGGCTGATACCAGTGCTGGTGTTTCTGGTTGGGGCTCCTGAGCCATCTCTGCACACTTGCCCTGCTACTCCCTCTGATTGGTTAAGAAGAGGTCTTTATCTTCTTCACCTTTTCTTTCAAGAAGCTTGGGAGCTACAGATCCCCATGGCCCTGAACAGACTGATGGAGACTGAGTTGCCTCTCTGGGAACCCCAAGGGTGTTGACAGCCTGGGGCTTGTGTGTTGGGGGCCTGGAGCACTGGGGCAGGTGTAAGGCACCATATTGTCCTCAGTTGGCTACCTTTCTTCACTTTGGGGGAGCCCTGTGCTGGCCACTTCATCTCGGCCCTGGGGCTGGCTCTCCTTCCTGTCTGACACAGTGGGCAGAGCAACACCGAGACCCTTGTTCTTTGTGAAGCCAGTGGGTTTGGTCACATGGCTGTGCTCCAGGGACCAGGCTGCTGATGGACAAGGGGCTGGCTGAGGTCATGGTTGGGTGATCATGCATTTGCCATCTCTAGAGAGCCCCCAGGGTTCTCATTTGTATGCTGCTGTGCCCTCCCCATGCACCAACAGGAGGTGGGCTCCCCGTACTCCCAGGTGCAGGCTCCTGAGACACAAGCAGGTGGCCTGCACAGGAAGTGTGGTTCTTCAGAGTCCCAGGAAAATGGTAGTTGGTGATTTTCACCCCATTTTACAGACAGCCCCTCAGGCTCAAAAGGGATAGTGATTTGCCTGAGGGCTTCAGAGACTGTACTGAGTCCTAAGTGTCGGAGTTCGTGGCAGGTGCTGAGGCCCTAGTCTAGGGCTTTCCCTTTGTAGTGGTAAGGGGGGCCCTGTGCACAGCCCCCAGCACCCTCATTACGATGGCCATGGTGCTCTGCTCTTCTCCCTCGCGCTGCTTGGTTCCCCATGATGGCTCCTGTCACACAGTCCAGCTGGGACTACGCTTAGTGGTGAGCCTGTCCTCTTGGCACAACAGGGAGCCTGGGACTCCTGCAGCAGCTTGCATGGCACTTGGCATGAGTGTATACCAGAAAGTTTGCAAAATTAGTACAGAGAGAGTTTTGGAGAGGGACAGGTTAGGAACAAACCCTGGTGGAACTAACACTGTTTATTTGGATTTTGTTCTTGGTGACTGCATGGGCCAGGCCGTGCCTGTGGGCATCCCAGGGCATGGGGACAGTGCAGCTTGTGGGTCTGGGCAGACCTAGAGTATCCTTTGGAGGGTGTGACTCAGGCACGGCTCTTGCTTATGGGAGGTGGAATGCAAGGATGGGCCAGACACAAGAAACATCCAAGGCTGTGAAAAAATGGCCTGTGGATTGAGACTCTGGGCTGCACGTGACCCACCTTAGGCAAACAAAGGCATTCACTGGCTCATGGAACTGGAAAGTTCGGGAGAAACAGGCTTCAGCCTCACATGCACCCAGGGGCTGAAAATGACATTGTCAGGACCGTGTCTCACTCTCAGACCCGCCTGCCTCTGTTCCTGGGCATGTCTCTTTTTGGGAAAGCCAAATGGCTTCTACAAGGCTGCTGCTAAGAGATGATTTTGGCACTGGATGAAAAAACTTTAGCACCCTCAGGCCTCACAAGGATAGATTTGTAGCAGTGTGCAGTGCAACTATATTGGCTTCCAGGTCCCTTCTTGTTGAATCGTCCATCCCTGGGTGGTTTGTGCCGACAGACCTCTCTCCCAGTGATCACCAACGTGCCAGGATGGGCTCTCTCTGTACCTCCTTGAACCCCCTGCTCATCCCTGATCCAGTCAGGATGTGGGCTTCTGACTGGACTTGGAGTGAGAGTCACTCCAGCTGGAAACAGGCAGGAGGAATGTTTTATCAAGGAAAATCAGGTCCCTAAAGCCAGACAGGGTCCCATGCCTCAGGGCTGGGGTGCCATGATGCAGGCTGGGGTGCCATGATACAGGCTGTGCGTTGGCAGGATTGGTGCAGGGACTGAGGGCTTGCACTGCCTATCTGCTGAGGCCAGGCCCGCTCCAGTCAGGGGCCTCAGCTGGCCATGGTTGGTCTAGGAGCCTCATGTTGGGAGCAGAGGGAGGTGAAGGGGACTGGGGATGCTAGGGCCAGGGACTGCCAGCAAATGTGACCTGAAGGCCAGAATTGCCGTGATTGGGCCCATATAGGGAAAGAAAGAGAGCTTGTCATGAATCAAGGGCACTTTCTGGCCATAGAACCTGTTGGATGGCATCCAACCTGTAGGGGGAGACAGTCAGCCAGGGCTGGACACTGGTGAACGCTGCTGGGTCTACGCCGGCGTCCTCCAACCTCTGTTTACGGGAATCACTGAGGCTGACTTGGACCCTCATTTTTCGTGGTGGCCTGCATGGGTGGAACGTGTTGCAGTTAGACACCCTCCCGGGTGCATTCCCACTTAAAGATGATTTTTCTTTTCCTCCTCTTCTCTCACTGCTCAGATATCCGTGGGCTTCAAAGCTTTCTGGACCAGGCCTCGCGGCTGGGCCTTGACGTCTCTTTACAAAAGGTGGACAAGAACATTAGCCACGTATTCACCAGCCTCTTCACCACGATGAAGACAGAGGAGCTGAATCGCTACCGGGACACGCTTCGCCGCGCCATCCTGCTGCTCAGCCCACAGGGAGCCCACTCCTTCATCAACGAGGTAGGTCATGGGGGCCTGAGGCCTCAGGGGCCTGGTGCCCAGGGCTCTGCAGAAGATGGTTCAGGTGGGCTGCAGGGCACAGTCGTCTTACGCATGGCCTAAACGGACATGGAGACCCGTAGGTGCTCGGCCCACAGCACTCAGCCTGTAAGGGGGGATTCTCTGAGCACTACTTGGCTCCTGATAGTTCCCTGACAGGTGAGTCAAGGCCTGCCCAGCCTCTGAAGAGCTGTGGGGAGGCTGGTGGAAGCCTGTTTACAAGTCACTGACAGAGATTTCTGAGGCAAGACTCAGCCCTTTTTTTTTTCTTTTTAATTTTCCTCTCTTTGTTGACAGGTGTAAGCCTCTAGGGATAAAATAAATTTCCAGCTTTCTGCAGAGGTGGGTAGGTCTGCCTTGGGATTTCTTAGCACCTGGAGGAGGTGTCTTTGCCTATCGTTGAAGGATACATTAGATGTTCTTATTTTTTTGGCACTTGGGCTAATAATCAGTGTGAATTTCTTTTAAAAACATCTCTGTTCGAGGTTGGAGCCTTCTAATGAAGACAGGGCCCATCAGTTTAAGAATCCATTGGTTAGTAAAGAATCCATTCATTTGTAAAGAATCCATTAATTTGAGAAGAAACTAGAAATAACCTATGAGTTGGCTGATTGGCGCTGGCCCAGGTAGTCTAATGGCAGAGAGGTGAGAGGCTGGAGTTGGCAGGTCTCCCTCTGGCCTGGGTTGGTTTTGGGGGGTGAGCTGGGGATGTGGTATGCCTGGGAGCAGAGGCAGATTGAACAGGTCACAGGGTGGCCAAGGGCTCCCTGCAGATTCTCCAGACAACCCCAGTCACCTTGTTGGCCCTCTCTGATTGAAAGTAAACTGAAGTGAAACATGACATTATACTAATTCCATTTGATGTACTTTGCTTGCTTATTCTGCTTTTCCTTCTAATTAATTATTACTCAGAATGCTACCTCATGCATCAGGAGCCAGCCCAAAGCCCACTGCTGGGGAACTTAAAATTTGGAATGCTTAATGTGGTACAACTGGCCGGCAGCCCTGATGCTCTCTGCTAATCAGGCCCCGAATCACGCCGGTGGTCCGCCAGGCTGTGATGTCCTGTCGGCTCCCGGCATTTTCACCAGAACATGTTGCCCTGTATGAAGTGATTCAGTCCAGTAATGGACAGCCTGGGATTAGCAGCACTAACATGTCCATTCTTTCTCAGAATATACCCAGCTGTGTGTTTGCAAAAGTCTGCTCAGGGGATGGCTCTTCTTGCAGTATTTCCCCAGCTGGATTCTGTACTGGTGATGGTATCGACTAATCTCATCGCTGGCCCCCTCCCTTCTTGCTTCTTGCCAATTCCTTGCCCGTTCCCCTTGCTTCCTTTCCTTCTTGCTCTGCTGTGAAGCTTGGGGGTGGAAAGACTATTGGCTTTGGAGTTGAATGGATGTGGGGGCAAGTCCCAGCTCCTTGACTTATTATTTGTGTGACCTTGGGCCATTTGCATCACCGTCTTAGCCTCTGTTTCTTCATCTGTTAAAAGGGATGAAGGAGACAGCTATGATAAAGCATTTAGCATATAGCTTTTCAAGAAGCATCTGTTTTCTTTTCACTGCACATATTCATGCATTTTCGTTCTAGAGGATTTTAGCCCCTTCCTGTTTCTAGCCCTGTGAGGATTTAACACATAACTAAGACTGGCCTAAGGATGTTATTGCCAAGTGGTTAATTATGCAAACGCCTGCAGTGGTGGATTCGCTGGGCTTGCTTTGTCCTGCTTGCATTGCTGGGTGTGATGGGAATGGGGAAGGCTCTGGGGTGGCCACTTTTTTTTTTGTCAGACCATTATTTTATTTTTAAATTTCAACTTTTATTTTAGGTACAGGGGGTACATGTGCAGATTTGTTACATGGGAATCTTGTGTGATGCTGAGGTTTAGAGTACGGATCCCATCACCTAGGTGGTGAGAATAGTATCCAATAGGTCATTTCTAAATCCCCCACCCTCTAGTATTCTACAGTTTCTTTTGCTGGACTCTTAACGTCAGTCAAGTCCCTGGGATTGTTGGCAGGAGATTGAGGGGAACGATGGCATTTGGACTTTGGGCCAACAGCTCCCACCGTAGTCTTCAGTCTCCGCCGATGATAAGAGTCTTGATCCCTGTTCTCATGCGCCTGTCATTAGTAGGGAGGAAGCTGAGGTTTCTTGGGTGCCCACGATGGCTCTGGCCCTTTGTGCATTCTCTAATCCTCACACTTTGCAGACAGAGGAAATGGAAAAGCTAAAGATGTTAAATGACTTACTTAAGGTCACACAAATAGCCACTTAGGCATTGAACAGGATTCAAGTCCGGATTTTACTCCCTCCAGAGCCCCTCTCTTCCATCTGTGATGATTCCAGGAATATCAGTGTACAGCACTGCACTTGCTGGAGTGGGGAAATAGGGCATGCTGGCTTCATCGGGGAAGATATGGTTCCACTGTCTCTGGCCAGGGTTTGGCAGAGGTTCTCAGGGTGCTTATACGCAAAGCATTTTAACGTATCTCCTAAGTGTGGTGGGGAAGAAATGTGGATTCTGGAGTAAACATGAGCTATCTGACTGGCTAGCCCAGTAGGTCCCCTAGGAACACCTGGGAATGCTGTCCCTGCACGAAGCCTTCCTCACCACCTGGAGGCATTGCATGGGCTTCTTGAGCAGACTGACCCAACCTCCTCTTTGTTGTGACAAGGACAAACGATGTTCACAAGGATGACACACTGCCAGAACATGTCCTGAATTTTATGAAGCCCAAAGCACAGTTAAGGAGGAGTAAATGTCTCCTCAGCACCCCCAACACATCAACTGCATGTCAATGTTATGCAGCATCCGGGATGGTACAGATGAGCTGGAGTTGGCATGGGCTATGGGGCTTTCCTAGTTGTAAGTTCTCCTCTTCCCTACTCAAAAAGCCTAGCCAAATGGGAGTGAGTGAGGAAGACGGAGCTGCTTGAATCTTTTACATTTTGCAAAATGGCATTCATTCACTGAAGGTGGCTGTTGGCCTGGGGGCACATGGCACCACCAGCCTCTCTGTGATTCCGCTTCACGAGGGGCTCTGCTGTCGGGGCCTGCAGGTTCTGTGAGCCTGGCCTTGGCAGTGAGTGGGTGAGTGGAAGAGTTGTGGCAGGCCAAGGTGCTGGGGCCTGCCTGGGGACCCTGTGGGCTTGTGTGTCAGGCCCCACCTAGAGACCCCTCACATCCCTCGCTCAGTCTTTATTCCACATTCATCCTCTGAGGCCTCCTCAGCACCATCTTAGTAGCCACCACAACACTGCATCATCTTAAAAAGGTGTGGAGAGGCTCCCCTCAGGGAGGATGGGGCTGAGGGTGATAGAACTCAGGTCTCCGGATCCCAGGCCTGGGGGCACCATGGGGCTGCTCTGGGGACTGCCAAGGGTACAGGCCATGGAATGTCCCTTCCTCCAGGGGGGCCTGTTCTGCCTTGAGCTTGACCTTGGAGCCCTCCATGTGAGTGTGGGTGGCTCTTTCCAATCATACCCTAACTGGGGAGTGGATTGGACTCATTGGATCCTAGTTGGGCCTTGGTTCTTCTCTGGGCTACAGGTTGCTAAGTGGGACTTCAGTGCACAGTGACAACTACCTATGATGTTCTCCTCATGCAAGCCCATCAGCTTCCTCACCAGCTGGGGATCATGGCCCATGCAATTGCTGAAGTGACCAAGGCAGCAGCTGCTGAGAGGGGCCTTGCTCTGGGAATCCTGCTGGTGGCTGCTGGAGCTTTCTCTCTTCTGCTCATGGCTCTTCCTGTCACTTCTCCAGCATTTACTGAGCCCCAGCCTGTGCCAAGTTCTATGTGGGCATGTAGGCTGTTGTCCCTGCTCTCACAGGGCTCCCAGCTTGGTGGGGAGGACTGAGGTATGAACAGACCCTTTTACCTGTAATGGCAGAGGTGTGGCCAAGTCTTGTAAGAGCACGGAAGACAGAGTGATGTCCTCTGGCCAGGGAGAGATGGGATCATCAGAAGGTCAACGGAAGCTTCCTGGACTAGGTGACTCTGGGTCTGGGTCTGTAGGAATGAACTTGCACTAACTCTGTGAACAAGGAAGGGCTGGAGAGAGGGGTCAGGGGATCCCTACTGTATTCAGGAACTTGTGTGTGATGCAGTTGCAGTCATGGGTGTGCAGGGGAGGGAGTGGCTGGAGCTGAGGCTGGGATGTCAGCAGGGAGGGCTCCCTAGCCTGGGGCAGGAAATCCAGACTTCAGGACTGATGTGTTCTTGGGGTCCTTTTCAGGGTATTAGAGGTTAACGCCCTACAGTTTACATGTCTTATTGTTGTTCTTCTCCAGGTCAGGCTTGATGGGGAGAACTCCAGTCCACAGTCATTTGGCCCTGGGCTTCATCTCAACTTCCTGGAGGGATTCTGTTCATCTATTCATCTGTCATCCACCTCTCTCTCCGTTCATCCATTCATCTGTCCATCTACTCATCCATCATCCAATCACTTACTCACCCAGCAAGTACCAATTGGGAGCCTCCTATGGATGAGGAACCCTATCAAATGCTGAGGGGCATGGAATTCAGAGGCAGTGCCTCCTCCTCTCCAAGACTGGCTATGATATGGAAAGTCGTGGCCACACACCATGCCACTGGTGGGCATTCCAGTGGCTGGCAGAGCAGCTGTGCCCCAGGGCTGTCATCCACTAAGGCCTCTCTCAGTGTCCATGGGCATTTTGAGGACTCCAGGGCTTTGTCCTTTCACCTCTTATTTATTGGTTCTATGCCACTGTCTCTACCGTACATAGGCCTCCCTCTTTCCTTTTGTTTCCTCTGTATTTCCTCCTCTCCCTTCTAGTCTTTTGTTCCACTGGAAAGAGTGGAAAAATTAAATGATTTTAAACTGTTTGTTTTCTTTATGGAGAAGAGTTGCTGCTCCTTCTTTCCAGTTCACAAGGAGGCGGGGCAGCCTGCCCAGCCCTGATGTCCAGGCACCATCCGTTTCTGTATGTCCTGCAGATGTTGGATAATCTGTCCCTGTAACTAGAACGTGCTGCCTGTAGGCCAGGGACTGTGTGATGTTCACCATTTTATTTCCTGAGAGCAGCATGGGACCTTGTCTACAGTAGTGTTGAAGGACTAAATGAATGGGAATTTAATATTTCTTACTTCCAATAGAAATGGGGTCAGCTGTTTTTGTGTGTGTGTACTTTGGTTGCCTGTTTGGCTGGTAAACAACTCCTAGGCCAGCACATCAGCAAGGGCTTTGGTCTGAAAACTTTGGCTAGTGGGAAGGCTTACATTTGCCTAAGAGTGCTGCCTTAGGCCTGGGTGGCTCAGCAAATGAGGCCAGGGCTGCTCCTGCAGGTGGGACGTTCCTGGGCCCAGCTGTGGCACATGGCAGTGGAGTGTGGGGTGCAGAGAGATCAGCGTGTGTGGTGGTGGTAAGCAGCAGTGGAGAAAGGTGTGGGAGACCAGGCATGCATTTGTGCACACACACACACACATGCACACATGGACACAGCTTGATGCAATGATACAACCAGCAGCCACATACACTGGTACAACCAGACCCTCAGACTGGCACAGCCCAACAGGCACTGACACACACACAAACACATGCACCTGTGCAGATCCACACATCAATATGCATACACATCCACCAGGAGGAGAGCATTGCTGGTGGCAGAACAGTCTGGGAGAGGTATTCTGTCTTTGGAAAAGAAATGGCAGCTACCCAGTGACAGTTGCAGCAGATGGCATTGACCTCTGCAGTTAGATACCAGTGATCTCTTTCTGTAGAGGGAAGAACAGGAGAAAGAACAGCAGAGAGAAAAGCTGGTTAGTTGGACAGCTTTCCGTTGCTCTGGTACAAGATGTCACTTTTCATCCAGGCTGGATGGAGTTAGGTTAAGGAAAAAGGTGGAAGGGGCCACTCCCAACACCTCTCCCAGATTGGCTTCCCAGGCATGGAGTGTGCCTGGAGGTCAATTTGATCCTTCATAGAAGCCCAGCCTGGGTTTAGTCCTGTCTTCAAATCAATTGCTTCTCAGAGTTTGCTGCAGTGAGTGAAGCTCCCGCAATTTGAATATAAAGACTGTGCTTTTTAATACATTTATAGCAAAGGTAAATTAGCAATCTCAACGTTCTGTTGTCCCACATGATATATGCAAATATTTCTCACTCTAACAAGGTAAATCTTTAGCAGACGACTTTATCACTCAGAGCTAGGATAATTCTGTGCCATTTAAGTATCATTTACCAGAATATTTTAAATTACTAATTAATTATAGGAGATTAATTTTTGAATATGGCCCTGCATTTGCATTTAATTATATCCCACTGTTTACAGATTTTAAAGCCTTAGCACTTTAGCAAAAGTGCTTCCAGTCTGAGAAATTTACATTTTCTCTTAGAAATTCTTAGAAATAAGGTCACAAGAAAGAAATGTTTCTAGATTTTGTTCAGATGGGCTTGGAACTCAGCGGCTTCAAGAGGCAGCCAGAACGCGGGGCCTGGCTGAGTTCAGGAAGGGAACAGAGAGCTGTCCTGTTAGGATCTGTGTTTGAGGCTCTACATGGCTCTGTCCCTTTCCTCCTCTGTCCCCACCATCCTGCTCATCTTTCCAAAGCCCCTGAGTGCTGGGGAAGCTGCTGTGAGCTCTGTCCCGGTGTCAGCCAGCACTGGTCTTGCAGGCCTCTGGCATCCTAGTCCACTGTCCCCTCTCCATGACAGCACTGTCACATCCCTCAGAGCCTGCTGCCTCCTGAACACACCTCCATTGCCACCTCATCCCAGAGCTAGCCCTGCACCCACTGCTTGTGCTGTGACCCTCTATTGCATCTCCCTCCTTGTGTGATCTGGGAATGCTAAGGGCAGGAACTGGGGCCTGTTAATCTTTCTTAATCACATTTTCAGGGGCCATGCATTATGGTTGGTAAACAGATGGAGGGTGGGACCCCAGGAGCACCGACTTCTGTCCCCACACAAACGTTGTCTAGAACTTCGATTGCCCACTGGGCAAATGAAACACATTCTTAACACTCCAGCCAAGCAGGAGTGCCCAAGTAAAACATTGTAAGAATTTAATGTTTGATTTTTGATATTTCAAAGGAGCATCTAAGCAATCATCAGGGAAAAAGGCCTGAGTGCCGCTGGACTTTCTGGTGTTTATTTTCTGGTTGGCTGTTGTTTCTATTTTGAGTTCCATCTCAAATCATGCCATCCCATTCTTGGTGCTCTGGGGTGCTGAAAGCCTTACAGAGACTGTCTGGGAGGCCTGTCTGGGGTCAAAGAGAACTGTGAACCTGAAGCATGGGCCTGAAGACACCTGGTGGCCTTTCCTTCCTTTGTGGGTCATTAAATAGCGGAGCAGAGTGTCAGCTCCTCCCTGCAGAGTATCTATGGCTTATTAGCAGGTAGCCCCTTTGGCCAAGGAGGCAGCAGACATGAGAAATAGGCATTTACAAAGGGAAACAGCCTGCAGCAGCCGAAATGGCTCAATTACCCTTTCTGCTCCCGGATCCCCAAGGGTGTTCAGCCTTGGGGGGGCCTCGCCTCTGAGCCTGAGGTGAGTCAGCCTGCTTGTTGACTGAAGAGCTGATTGGGGAGCTCAGCGGGGAAGCTGTAAGAAGACGTGGTGGGATGCAGGGGGAGGGGGCGGGTCATGAGAGGCAGAAATGAGAGAGATTATCTAAATTGGTATGAATTTATCTCAGAGAAGCTATCTGTGCCATGTAGTCCACATCTGGTGCCATTCTCTGCACATGGCATCCCTAAACAGAGCCCTCTCCTGGTGCCGGTGAGATAAGAGAGTTCCCTGACCCCACTCGCAGGACGTGTGATAGGGACGTGGCTCCTTTGTTTGGCTGCTTGCTCCTTACGGGATGGGGGGCACGCAGACGGGCAGGTGCAGGAACTGGGGTGAGCGCTTTTGGGCTCTGGCCCCACGGTAGCACTAGGGGTGGGTGCCTGTGACTCCCAAAGCCCCAGTGGGCATGTTACAGTGCTCTTTTAGCTCCTGCCATCTGCAGATGGCTTAAGCGTTAACCAGCTCAGCGCCCTCTTGGTACTCAGATCCTTGTCTGGCAACCAGGAAGAATCAGGTCACACAGACAAGTTAAAGGATGGTAAATGCAGGGGATTTTATTGCCAGATGGAAGTGGCTCTCAGTAGGATGGATGGGGAGCTGGAAAGGGGTTGGAGTGGGAAGACTATATTCCCCTGGAATTCTACCATCCTGCAGCTGATCTTCTCTCTGACTGTCTCCAACCGAACTCCTCTCGACATTCAGATGCTCCTTCTCTCCTCTCCTTCTCTACTGTGTCGCTCTTCTGTTCCTCTGCCCTTCTGCTTATGGAGCCTGGGATTTGGGGTTTATATGGGTACAGGCATGGCAGGCCAAAAGGCAACATTTGTGTGTGAAAACAGGAATGACTGTTCCCATTTAGGGCTGTGAGTTTCCAGGCTTGAGGGTGGAGCCTTTGCTGGGGAACTTCCCTCTTCTACCCAGTATTTCCTGGCCTCCTGTCTACATCACTGGTAGGAATCTGGCCTTGGTCACCTGCCATCTGTGCTTGAGCTGCCAGTCCCCTTGGAGAGAAGAAGGGCTCTGCATCAGCTAGCTGTGTGTCCTAAAACTCAGTGTCATGCAACAGTAAGCATGTGTTGTTACTCATGAACCTAGTGGTCAGCAGACCTGGGTTAGATTCACTGGATCTCAGCTGGGCTGGCTCATGCATCTGGGCTGGCTGGTGAGGATGGCACTGGCCAGCTGTAAGCTGGGGTGATGAGCCTGCCCCTTGACAAGCACACTAGCCCAGGCTTATTCATGTGGCAGCAGCGGAGTTCCAGGAGACCAAGTGTGAGTGCTCAGGGCTGCTTGAAGCCTGAGCTCAGACCTGGTGCATTGTGACTTCTACTGCAATCTCTTGTCCAGAGCAAGCCATGAAGTCAGCTCAACAGGCAGGGGAAAGAGACTCCTCCTCTAGATGGAAGACTGCTCTTGAGGGGGGAACTGGAAAGTCACATTGCCAAGGGAGTGGCTGCCTTGAAGGACAGAGAGTTGGGACCATTTTGTTGTCCATCTAGCATAGGCCCTAGTGTGCAGATGAGCTTCCTGGGTGGAAGCAGATGGTGGCAGTTCTGCAGGTGACCTGGGGCCATGTGCCTTCTCACTCTTACTTTGCTTCAACATTGTTCAACTTTGGGGTGAACATGGTAAAGAGGGGGATGTGGAGCAGAGGGAGGGATGAAGACAGGCTTTATTTATCAAGTTCACCATATTCAGACCCTGAAACTCACCGAATCTTCTCAACAATGCTGGAAGAGAAGGGCTAGGATGGAGCTTTGAGCCTGTGGGGATTTTGGGGTTTGCTCATGGTCTAAAAGATGAAAAATGACAGAGCTGGGCTATGAATGCTGAACACCCTGACTCAAAGCCCAGCTTTTTTCTACTATGTGCTGTTGGGAGAGGAGGCTTGTTGCCATTGACAGATCAAGGGAGAGCCCATTTTTCTCCTGGAGTGTGACACAGAGCAGACTAGGTGAACATTGCCACGGAGTAGCAGGTAGCATGAGGAGGGGGACTGGACACCTCTGAATGCTCATATGGAGATGGGGACAACCCCCAGTCCTCTCTCGGCCAACACATCTGCAGAGAGCCTGAGGGGATGGATTGGCTGCCTCTGTGTCTCCATGGTCAACTAGAAGAGCAGTTTCTACAACCTCCCAGGCACCCGAGAGTCTGAGGACATTTTATATAGGCTTTCTGTCTACAGGGCAGGGAAGGGCAGAGTCCAGGCAGACCCAGCCCCTTTCTTGCCCCGCTTTCTCACCATGTGGCTTTCTGAGCTCTGGTTCCTCATCTGCTCAATGGAGTCAATACTTGATTCACAACGTTCTTCTAAGTACAGGGTATTTTGGGGTGTAGGCTTTCCTTTTTCCTTTCTCACAGTGCTTGACATGGGTATGGGTACCCAGAACATGCCCAGTGACTGATGTGTGAGTGGGGAGATCGATGAGTCTCAGAAAATGTAAAGATATGGGCATGAAGGGCGTTGAGAAAAGTGAAAAAATCTTCTGTGACCCTGGGCAAGGTCAACATTCTGAAGTTTGGGATGTGCTAGTGCTTGACATCAGGGATTGGGCTGGTGACCTGCTGCTAGGTCGGTGGACCTAGGAGAGAAGTGGCAAGGTTGGTGGGCCGTTACCAGGCGTGTGTATGCTTCACCTCCCTGTTGCCTGCTGTGCAGGGCGTGGTATGGCCTCTCCCTCTCCCCAGTGCATTACTCACATATCTGCACTATCACCAAAGTATGCTGTGAGCAGTGTCAGGGGGAAAGCAATGTACAGGGTTGTGGTCCACAGTTCGAGTCATGGAGCCTGGGGGAAAGGAGCTGCTGTAGGAGACAAGTGTGAAGGTAGGGGAGAAAAGAACTGGAGGGAGGTAGATCATCACAGGAAAAGCACACATGAATTCCCCCAACCCCATCCAAGAAGCCCTGGGTACATGGGCACAGGGAGGGCAGATGGAGGGTTTCCTACCCCAGGGAGATGCAGGACTTGAACCACTTCGATTTAAATAAGAAAAGGCAGGGCAGAGCACCCAAGGATGTCCCTCTCCTCCCACACCCATTCTGCCCATTCTCCTCTCACAGAGGAAACCTGAGGCTTTCAGATGCTCAGCTGGGGCCACGATGATGCTTTTCTTTCCAGGGCTGGGGCTGCTGGTGGCACAGAGGAAGGGGCATTGTCCTTGGAGCAAATGGACACAGAATCAGAGCCCAACTCTTCTATCAGTGCCATCTTTTTGAGGCTATTTACTGGTCATAAGCTGGAGTATTAACACCTTCCCAGAGGGTTGCCATGGGAATTAAATGAGGGAATGCTCTTGAGAGGGCCTGGTGCAGGGGTGGTGCTCTGCAAATCGTAGTTTCATTATTGTGCCTGTGGATGGTGTTTGGCTGAGATTGTAGAACCAATCTGGGGCTGTTGGGGTCAAACATTGGGAGGTATCAGTGGCTCAGAGATGGGGAGCTGTGGCCAGCCTGGCAGAAGGATAGCTCCTACTCACTCTGTGTCAGGAAGCATAGCTCACAGAGCCAAGTGAGGAAAGCCAGATGTGGGGTGCACCTCGGGTGGTAAGGAGGGGCTAGGAAAAAGTGACAAAGTGCTCACGATCTCCAGCCAGCCCAGCTGGGGTTGAGAACCAGCTTGTGGTCCAGCACTCAGCTGGAGAGGATGTTAGAGTCCAAGAGAGAGCGGGAGAAGAGGAGGGCTAAGTGCTGCCTGGGCTCCAGATGCTGGCTAGGCACTTTCGGATCTTTTTCAGGAGCAGGGTGAGAGTTCACAGGGCACCTCCCATCTGGGCTGTTATTGGAGCACATGAGCAGGAGCAGCTACTAGTGGCTTCTCAGGAGTGCTAGTTACTGGGCTGATAGAAGGAGGGACAGCCGCGGGTGCTTTCTGCCTGCAGAGTTACTCTTCAGATGAGAAGGCATCTCTCAGCAGCCTGTCGGTGGCCAGTACGCCACTAAGATAGAATGGGCTCCATCCCTGGACCTCTTACACTGGGTGCTTTGGGGGAGAAAGACATGGTCTCTGCCCCTGAAGCACCGCCAGACTACACTAGAGAGAGAAAACATACACTCAGGAAGAACAGCGACTACTCAGTTGGAGACTGCCCTGTGCCTAGCGAAGCAGGGTGGGAAGGGGGCCGCATAGCTGCCCCTTCTCTCTGCCCTATAATGATCAAATGGGACCATCCCATCCAGGCTACCACATGAACTACTCTTGGATAATTCTGTAACTTGGAGCTTGTTAAGACAATCAAAGGGTCAGAGAAGAATGGCTAAAGCCACCCTTTGGCGTGACAGCCAGGTCATAAATCCAAATGCCTATGGCATCCAGGCAGGGATATTAAGGCAGACAGCAGGTGGGCTGTAAGAACTGAGAGTATTGCAGCTGCAGGCACCTGGGGGAAACATCCTTCTCTGAAGAGGACTGTCAGGCTCTGCCAAGATTCCCCTGAGAAGGCCTGGTGTGGTCACTATTTCTTGTGTCTCAAGAGGAGCCAGAAATTTGGACTTCCTGTGAAATCTCTTAGTTTTTAAATGTTTGTAGCTAATTACAAAAATTCTGAACTCTTTGTTGGCCAACTCTGCCTGTGGCAGGGCTGATAAGGCTTGCAGGCTGCCAAGTGGTAATGTCTGATTTATTGCATATATACTGTCAACTTAAGCTCATTAACTATGAGAATAGTGTGAAGCGAGCCCTGTTCTCCTTTCCCAGTTCTTTCTTGCTGAGGATAGGCAGTCATTCTTAGCACAGTGGTCCTAGGAGTTCCTATTTCTTTTCTTTTTCTTTTTTTTGTTTTTGAGACGGAGTCTCACTCTGTCGCCCAGGCTGGAGTGCAGAGGCACGATCTCAGCTCGCTGCAACCTCTGCCCCTCCAGGTTTAAGCAATTCTCTGCCTCAGCCTCTGGAGTAGCTGGGATTACAGGCGCGTGCCACCACGCCTGGCTAATTTTTTGTATTTTTAGTAGAGACGGGGTTTCGCTATCTTGGCCAGGCTGATCTTGAACTGCCGACCTCATGATCCACCCGCCTTGGCCTCCCAAAGTGCTGGGATTACAGGCGTGAGCCACCACGCCCGGCCGAGTTCCTGTTTCTTTCCTTGGCTCCTCAAGGTACCACCCCTGTTTTCTGTGATTCCAACATCCTTCTTACTTTTGTTGGTGGGTGTGACCTGCCTTAGGGGTCTCCCTCATGCAGTTGACCCTTGAACAATGTGGAGATTAGGGGAACCAACCCCCCATGCAGTCAAAAATCTGTGTATAACTTTTGACTCCCCCAAAACTTAACTCCTAAAGCTTACTGTTGGCCAGAAGCCTTACCGATAACATAAACATTTGATCAACACAAATTTTGTATGTTATAGGTATTATATACTATATTCTTACGGTAAAGTAGAGAAAATGGAATTAAGAAAATCATAGGAAGAGAAAATATATTTACTACTCATTAAGTGGAAGCGGCTCATCATAGAGGTCTTCGTCCTTGTTATCTTCATGTTGAGTAGGCTGAGGAAGAGGCGGAAGGGTTGGTCTTGCTGTCTCATGGGTGGCCGAGGCGGGAGAGATGGAGGAGGGATAAGGGGAGGAAGGAGAGGCAGTCACATTCAGTGAAACATTGATTGAAAAAAATCCACAGGTAAGTGGAGCCTCACAGTTCCAATCTGTGTTGTTCAAGAGTCAACTGTAGTTGCCAGAAGCTCATGTTCTTTTTATCCACCATTGCTCAAATTCTACTCTAAATGTGAACTGAGCTCTTTAACCATTACAGGCACTTTTGGTCTTTCCTGTGTGAAGGCCAGCTCTTTAGATGGGTGGTGATCATTGGTATTGGTTTGCTCTACCTAGCAGTACTCCACAAGGCTGCTGCTGGTTGTTAACTATCCTGGGACTGGCAGCTTTCAGTTCGTGGGTCTTATAGCTTTTTCCTTTCTGCATTTGGGGCACACTGACTCTGCCGGTTCACTCTCTGTGCTGAGGTGGGGAGGGTTTCGGCCTGCCTGACCGTTAGCATGAGAAGTAGCTTCCTATTTAGGGCCTGAGTGGCAAAGCCTTGCCCATTGGCAGTCACGTGGAAGCCATGGTGCTTTTATGTTCGACTGCCAGATTGTCTTCCTCCAGTCCTTGCTGTGGGTGCAGCACGTCCAGGGAGCCTGTCCATGCCAGTGCTCAGGCATTACTGCATTGGGCTGTGGCCTCAATTTTCATGTTTTTCTAAAACCATGTCTCACTTGCAGGGAGGGACCAACCTCATCTTATGATTGCTCCCTGAAGTTCACTGAAAGGGCTATGCAGAGTAGATGCTCAGCAAGTCACTGGCTGTATCAGCCAGGCCCGGAGGGAACTGCCCAGTTCCCCATATCACACCCAGGGGCTCTCCAGAGCCTGGGACTAAGGTTTCCATAAGCTCCCGCCCTGGCTCTGTCCAGTTCCCTGTATGACTATAGGGCACTGTCTTGCCTTTCTGGGTTTCATTTGTCTGTCTTGAAATGGATTCGATATTAATTGGGCAGTGAATATGGACTAGGCTCTGTTCTAGACCCTGAGAATATAAAGGGACTGAGACAAACAAGGTCCTTGTCTTCAAGAGCTGACATCTTAGTGGAGGTGGTGGTCAGACACTAAACAAATAAATGAGTAAACCAAAAGTCATGTGGGTAGTGACAACCCCCATGAAGAAAAATACAGTAAGGTAAGAAGAGAGTGGTTTCGTGGGGGCACCACTGTAGAGCAGTGGTTAGGGACAATGATGCCAAGAAGTAGGCGTTTATTGAGAGACTGGAAGGATGTGATGGAGCCCCCAAAACAAGATCTGCTGCAGAGAGATTGTGGCATCTGGAATGTCATGTGGTCCTGAGGCTGGAATGAGCTCAGCACATTGGAGCATCACTGAGGAGGAGGATGTACCTGGTGCCAGGTGAGCCAGGGGGAGAGTGGTGGCAGGTGACATTGGGGAGGTGTCCAAGATCAAAGCACTGGGGGCTTTCAGGCCTTTGTCAGATTTTGGGTTTGGTTTCAGTTGAATAGGAAGTCACTGGAGGTTTGTGAGCAGGTGAGCAGCATGATCTGGAAAGGGACCAGGGTTAAGGTGTTGTCTCTGCCACTCTCTGACTCCATGGGAAGCAGCTCAGGGACACAGAAATCCTAAGGGAATTGTACTCTATAGTTGTCAGCTGACAGGGAGCCTGGGAGCTGAGAATGGCTACCCTGGGGAGGTGCTCCCTCTGTTTCCCTGCTTGCCTGGGCCACGAGGCCTGGATGGGTAGCTCCCTGCCTGGCAGCCTCATTCTGGGCTCCCTGCACTCAGGCCGCCTGCATGGGCCCTTGGTGTGGGAAGCCACGCTGGCTCCTGCTTTGTGCCTCACAGAGCAAGTTCGCAGGGGTGAGCTCAGCCTCATGGCAGCCACCGTGGCAGCTTCCTGTGAGGAGCAAGCAATCAGCCTAAAGAGCTTTGCACATTATTAATGTGTGTGCACATGGGCCTGCCTTGCTGCTCCAAGGACTCTCCTTGTGGAAGGGCTGAGAGAGGACGTGCCCCTTTTCAGTGCATCTTTCCTCTTTCTTTCAGCAGGGAATTCGGAGAAGCAGCAAAAGCAACAGCAATAACAAACCCCAACCACACAAACCTTCCGCTCATCACCTAATGAGAATCAGGCAGGGCTGCTACCAAGCCCAGTGCAGGGCCTCGCCTCCCCAGGGCTGCGATTTGTTTGCCCTTGTGCCAATAGGTAAACAAATCAGGGATGCCAGTGTGTGGACATGTGTGGGTGTGGGGGTGGGTGCAGAGTTTGCATGTGTTCCACCTTTGTCTGCCTGTTTCCACACTGGCCTTTGAAACTGTGTGATGCCCCTACCTCCACCATAAAGGACTCACTGACATTGTGGGAGATAGTGATATGGGACATCCCACACCACATCCCATTCTTTGTTGCTCCCAACTGCTTCCCCTCCACTCTCAGCATCACCGGTAGGTTCCAGGCTATGGCCCTCTGCCCTCTGTTCCCTAGGTTTGGATTGTAGCTTTGCCTTTAGGACAAGGTGGTCTTGAGTAGGTCCCCCTTCTCCTCCTGTGACCCAGTAGACTCCAATCCTCCCCACCGTTCATTCCAGATCCCCCGGGGCACTGGCAGTGTTGGGGCGGAGTAGTCAGGCCTGGCATTGCACGGAACCAAAATCATGACATGACTTGATTCAAAACTCAAGCAGTTGCCTGGTTCATCCTCAAAGCTGGGCACCTTTCAGAGCCTTTGCAATGATGCTTGGGTCCCTTGGTTCTGCTGCCATGGCTCTGAAGTCCTGTGTCCCTGGACTCTGGACTTGAGCACTGCCCAGGCCTGCACGGCAGGGCACTAAGCTGCAGAAAGTGGGGCCCAACAGTTCCAACTGGGCTCCCCCCTTGTCTCCACCCCTCCCTCATGTGTGCTCACACGTCAGGGGTGGCCCTCAGGGTCAGTCCCATCAGAGGTAGCAGCTGTGGTCCAGGCATACTGGGAGACTTCAGAGGCCAGTTAAAAGGTGAGGAAAAAATAAATTTATCTGTGAAATGGGGAACACTATTTGCACATTTAATTCAGTGACCAATTTAAAAAATCATGACTGTTTCTTTCTATGAGGGGCAGTGTCCTTTCAAATCTGGCTACTTTTAGCTTCCAAAGGAAGATAGGTAAAGGGAAGTTGTATAAGTTATCCAGGCACCCAGTGGAGCTCCAGTGCCAGGGAGAGGCTGAGCAGGAATTCCAGCTCCAGGGCTGCTCATTCCTCTTCCAGCTGTTGGGTATTTCTTCCTACGCATAAGGGGCCATGCCCAGGATGGCCGTCAGCCCCTGGAAATGCAAAGCAAGCACATCCCTGGCTCATTAATTGCTCTAAGTGAATGTGCAGGGAATGATCCTGCTTCTCCGACAGGGTCAGACAGAGGGACCTTGTCCCTGGCTCAGCATGTGGTACCTGTCCTCAGGGTAGGGAGCGGGGAACAGTTGGGGCCAGCAGAAAGAGCAGGGTTTTGGGAGTTACTCAGCTCTGCTTACTCTCTGAACCTGTGTCTACTGGTAAAATAAAGAAGCTAGTGCCTGCTTACTCCCAAGGCTGTGGTAAAGTTTAAAGGACGTAATGTGTGGGGAAGTGCCTGGCTTGGAGTAGGTTAGTAAATGACTGCATTTGTCTCCCTTCTATGGCACAGGTTGCCCTTAGGTCTGTCACTCTGTCCACAGCCAGGCTGTTGTCACTGCTCCCATTTCTCAGATACAGAGACTGAGGCCCTGCAGGGTTGTATTTGGGGCCCGGGGGTATCCAGTGGAACGTTTCTAAAGCAATCAAGGTAAGGAGCAGGCTTGAGGGGAGAGATGTCAGAGCAGGTAAGAGCATATCTAGCCTTTGGAGTTGTTTGTTTGGTGTTAGAATCCAAGCACTGCCCTTATGGCTGGTGGCTGTGGGCAAGTTATAAAACTTCTCCAAACCTTTGTTTTCTTATATCTAAAGTAGGGATAGTGGCAGGACTACATCATAAGATGTGATGAGAGTTTAACAAGACAGTCATTTGAAGTGTTTAGGATAGTTCCTTGTACATTCTAAGTGCTCAGTAAATGTCCCTGGTATTATTGTGGTCATGGTGATAATGACGATTTTGATGGTGATGATGCTGTTGATGGTGATAATGATGGTGAGATGATGGTGATGGTGGTGATGTTGATGGTGATAATGATGGTGAGATAATGGTGATGGTGATGATGGTGATGATGGTAGTGATGATGATGGTGATGGTGATGATGGTGATGATGGTAGTGATGATGATGGTGATGGTGATGATGATGATTATGTTAATGATGATGATAATGGTGATAATGATGGTGTTGATGATGGCGATGGAGATAAATGATGGTGAGATGGTGGTGTTGGTGGTGATGATGGTGGTGGTAGTGATGGTGATGATGGTGATGTGGTGATGATGGTGATGGTGGTGATGATTTTTTGTTAAGGTGCAGAATGAAATTGCAACTTTAGGGACAGAGCCAAAGCACAGCTTGAGAGGTGGCTGGAGGAGAAGATGTGGTAGACAGGTGGAGGCCCAGGAGGAGACTTCCTGGTCCACAGCAGCTCAGCTTCCCCTCCCTGACTTACGATGTTGTCTGCACCTTGTCATAACTCCTGAGTCTCCCTTGCTCCTTGTGGTTGCTCTTACTTCATGTTGTGGAGGGAAATGGAGGGCATAAGGGGATATGCAACTTGAGGATCTCCCAAGAGACTTGAACAGATCCTTCCAGAAACTCACAGGGCCAAGTGTGGTGGTCTGCACTAGGACATGTGAGAGACAGGCTGTGGCAGAGCCAGGTATGTTGGGAGCCCAGCCTCAAGCCAGGGAGGAGGCATTCTACTTGGAGGTTGGTGGCAGCCGGCAAACCAGATGTCCCACTTGGCATCACTCCCCCCACGACAAAGGCACTTCTCATCAAAAACTGGTATTTCTAATCCTTGCAATCACAGTCAGAAAATAGTTACATAGAAGGTGATATTTAATATTTATGTCCAAACTGACAATACCTTGACATTAATTATTCTGTTATAATTAAATCTAGTAATCCATTACATTGCCATATAATGGATGTGGTTATATAGGACTCTAGTGAGGATAATGGAATTCTGAAGAGCAGAATTTGTAATTTAAAACCCAGGAACAAAAGCCCTGGATTGTGGGCCATGATTTTTCATGCCACCCTTTTTTTCCAAAGTCATTTACTCATCATTAAATAAACATTTATTGAAGGTTGGCAATAGAGAGACATAGGTGAGAGCACTTGTCTGTCCTTAGGGAAAGTAAGCAATCAACGATAATACAGAATAGGTATAAGTACAGGGATTGTGAGGGCGTCCTCTGAAGCCAATACATTTGTCCTGGGGCAAAATAAGGCTTTCTGTAGGAAGCACCATCTGAGCTGAGTCTTAAAGGATAGGCAAGGACCAACCACAGAAAACAGTGGGGCAGCAAGGGTAGGAGCATAGATGGTCAGAGCATGGGCACTAGAGGAAGTTTCTAGAGGAAAGAGCAATTGGTATTTTAATATGGCAACATCAAAAGAGGCATGTGGAGGAACAGGAGGCCAGGCTGGGAAGGACTCTATATGCCATGCTAGAGGCTAGAATCAGTCCTTAAAACAGTGGGAGCTGGCTGGGCGCAGTGGCTTACACCTGTAATCTCAGCACTTTGGGAGGCCAAGGTGGGTGGATCATGAGGTCAGGAGATCGAGACCATCTTGCTAACACGTTGAAACCCCTCTCTTCTAAAATATACCAAAAGAAAAAAAAAATTAGCCGGGCATGGTGGCGGGTACCTGTAGTCCCAGCTACTCGGGAGGCTGAGGCAGGAGAATGGCGTGAACCCAGGAGGCAGAGCTTGCAGTGAGCTGAGATGGCGCGACTGCACTCCAGCCTGGGCGACAGAGTGAGACTCTGTCTCAAAAAAACCCAAAAAAACAAAAACACAACAGTGGGAACCATTGCAGCATAAATGTGCCTCCTCACATCTGTGTTCTTGAAAGCTGTGAGTGGCCTCAGGAAACAGGATGCCCTAGATGGGATGCCTGTGGCCAGGAGGAAGGGCAGTGCTAATATTTGGGTGAGCGTCAACATAACATCGAGCTAAGGAAGGGATAATTGGGGAGGAAGAAACATTTTAGAGGAGTATTTTAGAAGTGTATCCTATAGAATTTAGGGTGAAATTCCAATTTTTTGAATAAACTTTAAATTTTAGGATCATTATGAAGATACTATAGAGAGTTCTCATATACCCCACACCCAGTTTTCCCCATTTTTAGCTTCTTACATCATTATAGAACATTTGTCATAATTAGGGACCCAATATTGATACATTATTAACTAAAGTCTATATTTCATTTATGTTTTCTTAGTTTTTGTTTGTTTGTTTGTTTTTGAGACAGGGTCTCACTCTGTCACCCAGGCTGGAGTGCAGTGGCCTGATCTCAGCTCACTGCAACCTCTGCCTCCAAGGCTCAAGCAATCTTCCCATTTCAGCCTCCCAAGTAGCTGGAACTACAGGTACACACCACCATGCCCGGATAATTTTTGTATTTTTTGTAGAGACAGGGTTTTTCCATGTTGCCAAGGTTGCTCTTGAACTCCTGAGCTCAAGTGATCCACTGCCTTAGCCTCTGAAAGTGCTGGGATTACAGCATGAGCCACTGTGCCCGGCCTATATTTTCTTAGTTTTTACTGAATGTCCTTTTGTTTTGTTTTGTTTGTCTTAGGATCCTATCCAGGATACCACATTGCATTAGTTGTCAGGTCTCCTTAGGCACCTCTTGGATGTGATAGTTTCTCAGGCTTTTCTTGGCTTTTGATGACCTTGATGTTTTGAGCAGTGCTGGTCAAGTATTTTGTAGAATTCCCCTCAACTGGGATTTATCTAATGTTTTTCTCATGATTAGATTTGGGTTATGGGTTTGGGAAGGAAGACCATGGAGGTAGTGCCATTCTCATCACACCATGTCAAGGGTACTTACTATTAACATGACTTATCACTGTTGGTGTAGACCTTGACCACCTGGCTGAGGCAGTGTTTGTCAAGGTTTCTCCACTAAAAAATGACCCTTTGTTCCCCCATGCTGCCCTCTTTGGAAAGATCTCACTATTTGCAGCCCACACTTAAAGAGTGGAGAACTACACTCCATCTCTCAAGAGTGGAGTATCTACATCCGTTGTTTGGAATTCTTCAGCATGGGATATTCTTTTTTTATTTTAATTTTTAAAATTTTTTTGTTTTATTTCAATAGGTTCTTGGGGGAACAGGTGGTGTTTGGTTACATGAATAAATTCTTTAGTGGTGATTTCTGAGATTTTGGTGCACCCATCACCTGAGCAGTGTACATTGTACCCAGTGTATAGTCTTTTATTCCTTGCCAGCCCCCACCCTTTCCCCCGAGTCTCCAAAGTCCAATATATGATTCTTATGGCTTTGCATCCTCATAACTTAGCTCCCATATATGAGTGAGAACATAACGATGTTTGATTTTTCATTCCTAAGTTACTTTACTTAGGATAACAGTCTCCAGTTCCATCCAGGTTGCTGTGAATGCCATTATTTCATTCCATTTTATGGCTGAGTAGTATTCCATGGTGATGTGTGTGTGTGTGTATATATATCTATCTATCTGTCTCACATTTTCTTAATTCACTTGTTGATTGCTGGGCATTTGGGCTGGTTCCATATTTTTGAAATTGCAAATTATGCTGCTATAAACATGCGTGTGCAAGTATCTTTTTTGTATAATGACTTCTTTTCCTTTGGGTAGATACTTAGTAGTGGGATTGCTGGATCAAACGGTAGATCTACTTTTAGTTCTTTAAGGTATCTCCACACTGTTGTCCATAGAGGTGGTACTAGTTTACATTCTCACCAACAGTGTAAATGTGTCCCCTTTTCACTGCATTCAAGCCAACATCTATTATTTTTTGATTATGGCCATTCTTGCAGGAGTGACGTGGTATCACATTGTGCTTTTGATTTGCATTTCTCTGATAATTAATGATGTTGAGCATCTTTCCATTCAGCTGGGATATTCTAATTCACTTTTTGAAGGTCAAATTAGTTGTGATCTGTGAGGTTAATGGTGGTGGTGGTGATGGTGGTGGTGGTGATAGTGGTGATGATAATGATGTTGATGATGGTGGTGATAGTGATAGCAGTGGTGATGGCAGTGGTGATGATGGTAGTGGTGATAGTGATGGTAGTGGTGGTGGTGATAGTGATTATGATGCTGGTGATGGTGTTGTTATTGTTGGTGATGGGAATGGTGGTGGTGGTAGGATGGTGTTTGTATTGGTGGTGGTAATAGTGATGGTGTTGGTGGTGATGTTGGTGTTGATCATGATGGTGTTGGTGATTGTGGTAATGGTGTTAGTGGTAGTGGTGGTGATGATGGTGGTGATGTGATTGCTGTGATGATGGTGGTGATGGTGGTGATGGTGTTGGTGTTAGTGCTGGTGGTGGTGATAGTGGTAGTGCTGATGGTGATAGTGATGGTAGTGGTGGTGGTGATGATGATGGTAGTGATGGTGTTATTGGTGGTGCTGGTAATGGTGTTGGTGATGGTGATGTTGGTGGTGATGGTGGTAGTATTGCTGATTGTGGTAATGGTGGTGGTGGTAATGGTGGTGGTGGTAAAGGTGTTGTTATTGGTGGTGGTGGCAATGGTAGTGGTGATGGTGGTGATGGTGATGGTGGTAGTATTGGTGATTGTGGTAATGATGGTGGTGATGGTGATGAAGGTTGTGATGGTGATAGTGATTGCAGTGATGGTGGTGGTATACAGGCTAGCAGGAGAGGACTCAAAATTTCCCTGAGAATCATTCTTTGGGCCACCTCTGCCTCTCTGGACCTGGCTCTAAGGGACAATTTATTTGGTGGTGGATTGAAGGCTTGTGCTACATTCTGGGCTGGCAGGTGAATAAGGCTTGGGTTCCCTGTTGGTGAGCCTTAGCCCCTGGCCACATAGTCTGTCCTCAGGCTGCTGGTGCTCCTCTCCCCATAAATGGTGGTGGTGGGGGGCATTTGATTTAACTTAATTAAATTCAAGTCAACCCCACAATCATTTTTTGCATGTTGCCTTTTGCTTGTGTGTCAGATCTAGGGCTCACCTCTGGAAATAGATGAGTCAGAGGTACTCTCAGCCCTAGAGAAGTCTACCACTTATGGATGGCCATCGTTCTCCCACAAGCAGCCTCTGACCCTTTGGCCTCTCTCTAAGACAAGTTGAAGTTGGCCACCTGATCCTTCCAGCTGTTTGGGAAGGGCAGCTTCTCACCCTGGGCTCCTCCCTGAGTGCTCATCTGGGGAGTTGCGGGAGAGAGCAGCCTTGTTGCTGTTTGAGTATGTGCCTGACAGATTCTAGGGGTAGAGGCATTGCAGATGTGCCTTGGCCTTAACACTCCAGGCTCAATGTTTTCCAGATACTTATTTTTCATGTTATTTTATTGTTTGTGTGAAATAAAATTTTGTAAGCACTTACTGACTACAGCCAAGAAAGTGACAACTGCACTTGGTTGATATTTCTGCTGTTTACTCTTGAGCTATTAGAAGACATACAGTCACGCATCACTTAACGATGAGGATACATCCTGAGAAATGCATTGTTAGGCGATGTCATCATTGTACGAACCCCATAGAGTGTACTTACACAAACCTAGACAGTACAGCCTACAACACACCTAGGCTTTATGGTACAGCCTATCGCTCCTATGCTACAAACCTGCATAGCATGGGACTGTGCCGAATGCAATAGTAACACGGTGGTATTTGTATATCTAATGGTATATGTATATCTAAACACACCTAAACAGAAAAGGTACAGTAAAAATTCAGCAATATAATCTTCTGGGACCACTGTCTTAGATGCAGTACATGGTTAACTGAAATGTTGTTAAGCAGTGCCTGATCGTACACATGTTTTGGCCTCCCAGGTAATAGACCAGCAGGCTCCTTCTGCCAGGAGCAGCTGGGATGGGGCTGGCCCTGTGTGCTGGGGTCGCTGGCTCTGTCGGTCCTTTTAGGCAAGTAGATCACCTCACGGGTTAGCAGAATGGCTAAGCAAATGGGTCAGGACCCAGGCTTGAGTTGGAATTCTGTCTAATCACCTCTTACTAACTGTAGAACCTTAGGTGAATGCCTCACTTTTTTCACCTGAAAAATGGGGGTAATGAGATTACCTACCTTGTAGGTGGCAGATTAAAGAAGTTAGGACATGTAGAGCACTTAAAGGTGTGCCTAGCACATTTACCTAGGGGTGTTAGCTGCTATCGTGTTTAACATAGGCAGGAGAGACTTGGGACTTAGGGAACTGAACAGTGGATTCCAAGTTTTCATTCATCTGTTCATTCATTCATTCATTCATTCATTCATCTATTGTTTCATTCATTTGTAATCCAAATATAAGTAGTTGTGCCTCATGCAGCAGTGGTGCCTCAATGTCTATGTAGAGTCACATTAGAAAAAGAAAGTAGTGGCATGCAAAGCAATCCTTTACTGGTGTTCTTTGAAGAATGTCAAAGAGGATCCTTTTCATAACTCACAGCCATGCTTCTTAGAATACTCCTGTTTCTGTCTCTTCCCCTTGTCTCTCACAAGCCGCCATCTCCCCAAACTCTCCAGGTATGTTACCTTTCATAGCCCCCGGGAGCTCTTGCTTCTCCTGCCTGCTCCTCTTTCTGTTCCTCTTTCCCTCCAACAAAAGTCCAGGAAGCCTGAGGAAATGGGGAAGATACATGGGCCAATACTGGATCCCAGGAGCAGGCAGGGAGAGAGGTGGATTCTTACCTGCTGTCACTACATCCCTGCTGAGTGCCTCCTGTGAGAGTACCTGTACTGGGTGATGGAAATGCAGGTTTATGATGGAGCCATGCCCTGGAGGAGACTGTGGCATCACAGCTCTGTGCCTGCTAATGCTGGGAGGTGGGAGCCTGCCAATGCTCTGGTTCTACCAGTTTCCCTCCGAATAGGTCTGTGTCAGATGACAGAGTGCGGAACTCAGTGGGGTTCCAGTTAGGGCTTGATCTAGGAGGTTTAAGGGGCTTCCTTTTCTCAGAAGACAGGGGAGAGGGAAAGACAGGAGGAGTTGAGAATGTTTCCAACTGGCAGGTCTGCAGTCTGAGGGGAGCTGCCTGACCTTCGGGGGTCAAGCTGTCAAGAATGCAGGCTGTGGCATCAGTCAGATGTGAGCGCAACTCCCAGCATCTCCCAGACCCGCTGTAGGACTTGGACAAATAATGTGACCTTCCTGAGCCCTGAGTTTCTTATCTGTGGGATGGAAGTCATGTTCTCCTTCACAGGGCTGTGGGAGCACTGGCAGAGGAACAGTTAGAGGGCAGTTTGTGGTGTTCCCTGACTGCCACCTCTCCACTGCCTTCCCTGTCCACTCCCCAGGCTTGTGTCCCTGGAGGAAAGCATAGACCACAAGGTTAGTCCCTCCAGGAAGGTGCCTGCCTCCACATGGTGGCCCCATGGATTTAGCCTGGCCTGGAGCCTCCAGCTTACCCCTTAACAGGAGCCAGGAACGTATACTGCACTCCATGTCTGGTGGACACCTGTGCTCCATCTGACACCCCCGCCCCACCCTGTGCAGAGAGCCCCTGCTGGGGAATGAGGCCCCACCCTCCTTCAGGGGGTTATGATCCCACCGAGATGGAGGAAACCAATGTGAATGCTGTGGACTCAGGTGCTTAGAAGGATGCTCATCTCTCCACTACACAGGCTCCAGCAGTGGCCTCTGCTTACAAACCTCTGCACATGGGGAACTCACCATCGATTAAGGAAACCTATTTTGTTGTTGGGTAGCTTGAAGTGAGAAAATTACCTTATGTTAGGCAAAAGCTGTCCTGTGGCTTCTACCCATTAGTTCTGGATGGGTGTTCTTGGGCTACACGGCAATTTTACTTTCTTTTCCCGTCAGCCCCTCGGTTATCTGAAGATAGATGCATGAACTTTGTGGTCTTCTTGATGAGCCCAGCCCCACCAGCTCACCCACTGGCCTGAGTTCATCAGTAGTTACTGAGCACCTCCTGTGTGTCAGATGCCCTGAAGCTCTGCAGGGTGTGGGGGTCTGGCAGGGGGTAAACCAGGCGAGGCCACCACACCTATGGAACTTGCATTTTATGTGAGAGAGGGAGAGGCAAAAAAGCAAAATAATATCATGTGGTGAAGAGTTCTGTAAGGAATTAGAACAGAACCATGTAATGAGACATGACTGGGGCTACTTTCGGCTATGTGACCACTCTGACTTTTCAGCTAACATCTGATTGCTGGAGTCAGGCCTGAGAAGGCCTTTGCTTTTGTAAGGGAGACCTTTACCATTGCAAAAGTCCCAAGATGGAATTAAAGCTGGCCTGTTAGAGGAACAGAGAGAGAATGCCTGTGTGGCTTGAGCTTAATGAAAGGAGGGGAGGCAGCAGCATGGTGGGGTCAGAGAGGTGGGTGAGAGAATGCCACCTGGGGTTATGTGGGCTAGACGAGGAGTTGGGGTTCTATTTTAAGTGTGATGGGAAGTCATTGGAGGGTTTGTATAGGGCAATGACATGACCCATTTCCTCTTTAGTGAACCCTCTGGCTGATCTGTGAAGAGTCTTTAAGAAGGCAAGCATGAAAGCAGAACAAATATCATTGCATGCATCAGATGAGTAAGACCCTTAAAGCCTCACTTTAACAAGTATTGGACAAATCGGAGGCTAAAGGTCTAGTCTCTGGCAAAGGCTGGGTCATTGAGGGCTTCTGAGTCTTGGTACTTTAAATACCCAACTTCTAGGGGTGTCTTCTACTCATAAACTTTGTGTGCATCTTTTCCCCCCTAATTTTGGGTAATCCTGGCCAATGCAAAACATGCATCCCTCAGCCAAAGCCCCCAGGCTGTGAGCATGGCCAGGCTCACAGGGAGAAGAATGCTGCATGACACCATCTCATCAGCAGTCCCTGGAGTTGCCTTGGTTCTCATGATGTATCGTTAGAAAACATATCAGTGGAAATTGCTCTTTCATCTTCATCAGCATCACTTTTGTGTTGTGGAGAAGGCCCGTCCTCATTAGGAGCCGAGGAGGAGGTGAGATTTGCAGCAGGAGCCCCCTGGCAGACACCACAATCACAACCCCCACCCCCACCCCTGCTCGGCCGCAGTTGTCATTAATCTGTATTTCACTCTTGCTTTCATCCTTCACTTGCTGTTTGTCATTTTTGGAGAAGGATCCTCTCTGTTAGCACATTTGGAACCTATTTCATTGCTGAGGAGAAGGGAACAATACAGGTTTTCATCTCAGACTAATTATGCCTCCAGTACACTGATGCTAAATAAAACCAAGGGGAAGGTAATTGGAGATTCTTGACGTGACATTCACAGCTTTGAGAAAAACAGATGTTCACTTGAGGAGCTGGGAAGAGAATACATATCCCTGTGACTGGCCAATGAGATTAGTTCCAGGAGGTTTTGAGACAGAGCTGGGCCACGCCTCATCCTGCAGATGTGGCGTGAGGAATCTCTGCTAAGCCTGCCTGCTCCTGGCTGGCCTGGCTTGACCTGGGGTCCTAGGTCCCAGCACTGTGTCCCCTGTCCCTAGTCATAGGGATGAGGTGCTGTGTCCTCACCTGGGATGACTTGGACAACTCCTGTGTTGAGTCATCTAAGACACTTTGTGGCAACTCAGGTCTTACACCTGAAAGTGCCTACCTGCAGCCTTGCCTCAGCCACTCACCAGTGTGGGACTCTGGGCCTGGACTGTAGCCTCATGGTGGCCCATGTCTTTATTGTCGGGTGGAGACTACACCTCATTAGATTCCTGGAGGACTTGGAAAAGACAACGTCTGTAGTATTCCCAGACCATGGAATGTCATCCAGAGATTCTATTTCTTTGCAAACAATGGCACTTTCCAGCAGGTTAAGGCTGCACCTAATCCTCAGTGCCTCTTCCTATCAGGTTGAGTTCTTTGACTTCCTTCAATGGCATGACTGATTGGACCAGCCAAACACTGATATCTGTTAGCCTGGGAAGCTGTGAACACCAGATCCTCATCCTCTTTCATGTGAACACTTTCACCAGGTGCAAATAATAATGAAGGCAGTTGAATGTAGCTTGGGTTAACCCCTTTATCCCTCCAAGTCCCTTATATTCCACCTGTTAAGTGAGTGACAGCTCTTGCCCAGTTTAATTTATAGAACACATATATCAGGGAACAGGTGTCCTTCCCTGAGATACATACAGGTATCTTTCAGGCTAGAAAATACTCTGGATCCCAAATAACTTCAGTGATTGGGGCAAAATCATGTTGTGTTGCAACTATTCCTGATGCATTGCTTTCTCTATCCAGGCCAGGGGGAGGTCTTTAAGGTCAGTGGCTGGGCATGGTTGATTGGATGGTTGCCCCAAGTTCCTCACACAGCCCTGCATCCACATGCTTGCTATGTTCTCATGGTGGGTGGATTTTAGTAGGGAATTAAAA
Source organism: Homo sapiens (assembly GCF_000001405.40). Lineage (NCBI taxonomy): Eukaryota > Metazoa > Chordata > Mammalia > Primates > Hominidae > Homo > Homo sapiens. Next base: position 86,111,273 of record NC_000010.11, on the reverse strand, counting down.
ACCCTGTGACTTGCTGTGGCCAAGGGCATGTAGGCAGAGATGACAAACTTCCAGTTCTGAGCCTGGGTAAAAAAAAGAGATATTGGATGTTTCCACCTGTCCTCTTGAGTTTCTATCACCTTCATGTTCTTGAAAATCTACTGGTCCAAGGCAGATGAGAAACATAAGGGGCCTACAGGAGCCACTGAGCTGAGCTACAAACTTGCAGTGAGGAGCAGATCTGCCCAAGCAACCCACAAATCTGTGTGAATAGATGATGCTTGTTTTAGCTACTGAGTTTTGAGTTGTTTGTTATGCAGCATTATTTTGGCAATTACTAACTGATACGCTGGGCTTTATTTGTGTCTGCATTCTCCACATCCAGCAAATCTGTGCCTGGCATAGAGGAGGCTCTTAGAATTGTTTACTGAATAAGCACATGAATCAATGAGTGAAGAATTTTATTTGGTTGTTAAATTTTATTGTGTTAATTCTTTCTTTACATTGACACACATGGACACTCTGAACCTGAGGGTCTTCTGGGGTGCCCACCTCATCTGATTAACTCTTTCCAAGTTTTGTTAGGATGAAAGCTGTGGGCTAGCCTCTTTCCCAACGTTACAGCTGGGAAAGAGGGGAAGAAGAGTGGTGCCTGAGAGCAGACATGGAATGCTAAGCCTGGTCCTGGGATGGCCATCTCAGTGATGGCCTAAGGAGGGCAGTAGTGAGCCCCAGGCTTCTGGGTGGTAGAGGCTGGAAGTCCCCCTGATGCCCAGCTTTCCCCCCATTGCCTCTTCGCAATGGTGCCCTCCTTCTCAATAGGTGGCTGCTGTAGGGAGGTGTTCAAAGAGGCCTGTGGCAGGTGTTCTGCCCCAAGCCATCTTCCCCTCTTCCTGGGCCAGCCAGCACAGACAGACCCAGCAGCCCTTTCCATTTCTCTCTAAAAAGCAGAGCCACATGGTAGAGCAGGGAGAGAAGTGGACCTGGGATGGGTGACCCAGGGGGTGAATAAAGAATGGAAGGCCGGGGGCGGTGGCTCATGCCTGTAATCCCAACACTTTGGGAGGCCGAGGCAGGTGGATCACCTGAGGTCAGGATTTCGAGATCAGCCTGACCAATATGGTGAAACCCTGTCTCTACTAAAAATATAAAAAATTAGCCAGGCGTGGTGGCACGTGCCTGTAATCCCAGCTACTCAGGAAGCTGAGACAGGAGAATTGCTTGAACCCGAGAGGCAGAGGTTGCAGTGAGCCAAGATCACTCCACTGCACTCCGGCCTGGGTGACAGAGTGAGACTCCCCCTCAAAAAAAAAAAAAAAAAAAGAATGGCAGAGTTTAAGATTTATTGAATGCTTACTTTGTGCTAGGCCCTTGACATGCATTTTTTTCTTTACCTATGAGGAGTGCTGTAACTGAGGACACTGAAGCCTAGTGAGGCTGGACCACAGAAGCAGGATTTGGACCCCAGCCATCTTCCTCTAGAGTTCCAGCTCTTGAAAGCCCATGGTCTCATCCTGGCCTGCAGGTTAGAATCACCTGGAGAGCTTTCAGTTAGGATCAAGGCCCAGATCCCATCTAGACCAACTAAGTGAGATCCCTAGGGAGGAGGCCAGTCAATGAGATGCTTAAACATCTCCCCAGATGATCTGATGACATAGAGAGGCCTTCTGCGACCTGACTATCATGCTATGTCCAATGGCAGGCCTGGCTTATAGCTGGGGTGTGCCTGCAGTGGCAACCTGGCACAAAGCAATGTGTGTGGTTGTCCTGTGGAGTTGAGACATGAGAGGGAGCCAGCATGGGCTTGGAGAGAGCCCTGTTTGGCCACTGAGATGTTGAGGCAGGCCATTGTTCCTCAGCCTGATGACAGCAATTCCTAGAGCCCATTAACAAGGCCCCTTGTGTTGGGGGCTCAAGACCTGTGCTGAGTTTTGTAAGCCTTGTTCACCCTGGGCGGTGGCGGGAGCATATCATCTTCTGAACACTCAGTGTTTCATTTTCTTTGCACGTCAGATTTGCTCTTTCCTTCTGTTGTTCACCATGTCTTATTAGCTGCTAGGCTGAGGCCCTCGCTGGAGTTAAGGGAATGGTTGTTTTGGCTTACAGAGGAGGGAAACTACCTTGAAGCAAGATAAACAGGAGAGCAGATACATATTGTGAAATATACTCAATCTATAACCACAGCTGGAAGAACGTTTGCTTAAAAAAGGGTCAGGAGAACAGAAGAAAAGGTCGATGAAGGGAAGGTGGAACGAATGTTTGGGTTTCTTTAATGTGGGAGGTGTGCAGGCTGGGCTGCAGTGAGAACTCAGTGAAGGCAGCACACGCTAGGGATGGCATGGGTTGGGGAGGGGCTCGGAGAGGGAAGCCGGACAGGGTGGGCACTTATGATAGCCAACCTCGGTGGGGTCTGCCCTAAGACAACTCAGGAAAACTGAGTGATCGAAACACAACTGCCAGACTCACAGGCATTGGTGTGCCCTTAGGTGCCTGGGCCTTTTTCAAAACATGCTGGTGAAATTCTGAAAGTGATCAAAGACCTCTCTTGTTAAACATAGGACCTGCAAATCAAAGGAAGTGGGAAATCAGAAAGACTAGAAGGGAGGCAGATAAGGAAATGCAAACAATCCCAAGGAGAAAAGCAGAGCAGAGTCTGGTGCTGGGGATGGCATGTGAGGGCTGGCACTGCTCCATCCCAGGGATTCTGCTCTTTTGGGGAGATGGAGCTCCTTCTGGAATATTGTGTATACATGTCTGTGTGCACATGTGTGGGTGTGCATGTGTATGTGCATGCATGTGTGAACACCTTCTGTCATGGAAGTTTCCAGTCCCAGAGGAGAAAAATAGGACAAAGCTCCATTCCAAGCACGCAGAATAATAACAGCTAATAACCTTTTGAGGCTTACCACTTTTCTGAGCACTTTTTTTGTTTATCTTGTCGAATCCCCTAAATTCCACAAGGTAGGGTTTTGTTAAAATCTCTGTTTTACTGGGGGAAGCTGGATGCAAAGAGGTTATATTGAAGTGGGAAAAGTTCTCTTGTCCCCCTCGCAGGGTGTGCGATGGGGGTGTGGCTCGCTTCTTCAGTGCCCCGCTGCTCAAACCTCTAGGGGAGCATACAGACGGGCAGGCTGTGGGGCTCCGACCCCATGGCGATGTCTAGGAGTGAATGTTTACAGCTCCTGAAGCCCCAGTGGGCATGTGTTACAGGGTGCTCTCTTAGTTTGCTGTCTGTAGGCGGCTTGTGTTAACCAGCTCAATTAGACCCTCTACCTTGTCGCACGGACAAAGGGCTCTCTGTATCCCGGGTTCTTGCCTTCATGTACTGGAAGAATTGGATCACACGTGGGCTTGGAGAATGAGTGCAAGGTTTTATTGAGTGGGAGTGGCTCTCAGCAGATGGGGGAGCAAGAAGGGAGATGGTTTTCCCCTGGAGTTGGGTTGTTTGGCAGCCTGGGTTCTCCTCTGAGTGCCCTGGCCAAATTCTGCGTTGTTCTGCTGGTCAGTGGCTGGCTGGCCTCCCGGTACCTGCTGAAGTGCTCCTCTCGATGTCCAGCCACCTGTGTGTTCCCCCGATGATGAGCTCCTCTCAATATTCAGCTGCCTGTGTGTTTGCCTGTTAGGGTCTCAGCATTTTTATGGGCACAGGATAGGGGCATGGCAGGCCAGGGGAGGTCTTGGGAAATGCAACATTTGGGCAGGAAAACAAAAATGCCTGTCTTCACTTAGGTCCATGGGCACAGGCCAGGGAGTGGAGCCCTAGCCAGGGACCACACCCTTCCCTTCCCCCATTCTGTATCATTTAAAGGGCCCATGCCCTTCCCTTCCCACCTCCTGTATCAATATAACTAGGCCAAGGTTTGGGCCACCCTGTGGGGTTTGCCACTGACATTTGTGAGGCTTGTACATCGTACCTGCCAAGGGACGCCCTTCAGATCACGGTCCTCATGGCTGTGCATTGTTATCAGGGCACACCTCCAGCAGTCAAAGGTCTCCAGCAGAATAGCTGTTTGGGCCAGGGCAGGGCCACAGGGCTCCAGGTTCCCTCCCAGAGCAGCTATCGGGCAGTGAGAAGAAGGCACCTGGATAGGATGCAGGTGTGCCGTGGTGCCACCTAAGGCAAAGCGCTAATACTCAGTGAGCTGTCACCAGGCCTAATATCTGGGTTCCAGGCTGGGCTTTCCTGCTGTGCCTGCACTGGGAAAGCTTCCTTTTCCTAGACTTGTCATGCAGGATTTGTGTCACTTGGTGTTCTCCGTAGGCAGGTCTGGCCCTCACTCTCCACAGGAGTCTGGATTCTGTCACCACAAAGACCCATCTAGGCTTCTGATCTAGAAGTCCTCTCTCGTAGAACTTCACCTCTCTCCTCACCTCCTCCTTGTTGTCAATTCATTTTCCTCTTCACCCCTGGGCTCCTTCACCTCCCCAGCTCCATTCTCTATCCCATCTTAGCCGCCACCTCCAACGGCCTCATCCTGGAGCCTGCCCATTCCCGGAACTCTCCATTGCCAGCGGCCATGCAGTCCTGCCCTTCGTTCCCTTGCTTCCGTAGACATGCCCGTGCACCTCACCAAGACCCCTCTTCTCACTGCACATTCCTGATCATCTCTGATGATCAGGAATCAGAGAAGTGAATGACTTGGCCCAAGTGTGCAGCCCAGGAAGAAATGTTTGACTTGAACTCAAGGCTCCCTCCTCCCATCCCCGCACCTGAAGCAGGCTCCTCCCTCTATCCCCACACCTGAAGCAGGCCCATTCTCCCATCCCCACACCTGAAGCAGGCCCATTCTCCCATCCCCACACCTGAAGCAGGCCCCTCCCTCCATCCCCACACCTGAAGCCAGAACCTCCCTGTATTCCCACACCTGAAGCTGGCCCCTCCCTCCATCCCATAATCTAGATGAGATTTTGTGTTTTGCTTTTTTGACCTAACATCCTGGGATAAACATTTCCTGTGTGGTTGCAAAGCCTTTCTAATCGTCATTTTTAGTGATTGCATTGAGATGAAGAATTGTTATTGCATACCCTACCTAATGTTTCCTGTTGTTGGACATTGTGACTGTTTCCAATCTTCAATTTTTTTTTGACGGTGTTCAGTGTAAACCTGCATGTGCAGTGTTTGATTTTTCTCATTTGGATTATTGCTGACAGGAAATTTCCTAGAGCAGGAGCAAAGGGTCAGGGAAGGACAGACACTTGGGGAGCTCTCAGACCCTGGAGCTCATGGTCCCCAAGACCGTGGTCTTGACTGCCATGCTGAGCAGTGGATATCATCATCCTCCTTTGCAATTGGGAACACTGGCCTTTCCAACATCTTCTCTCACAAGGCTTCCTCTCCCTGAAGCAGCCCCCATCCTCTTGTCCCCCTTGCATACCATGCTAACTCTACCATCATTTTCCTCTCCCCATCGCGGCTCCTCAGGGCAGCATTCCTGGGTGACCTGTGGTGCCCAGGCCAGTTAGACACATGCACAGTGCCCGTGCTTTTCCCTCAGGGTGCAGACTTCACTCTGCAATGATCTGTCTGTCACAGGCTTATTTGACTGATGTCAATCTCTCCCCTAGATTCCAACCTTTGCTGGAGAGGGGGGATGGCATCTTTCTCTCCACAGTGCCGGCTCTGGTGCTTGGCACACAGAAGAGGCTTCAGTGCTTGCTGAATGGGGAATGAAGGCTCCGTGTGCCCCGGACACTGCTGGGGAGGGGCAGCTGGCCCCTAGGGCTCTGCTTTCATTGAAGAGCGTGTTCCCCACCCAATCTAGATGTGTGCCTCAGAAGGCTAGGACTCAAGTGTGGGAATTGTGTGAGAGCCACAGGAGGCAAGAACAGCCAGTGCTGTGTGTTCTGAAGAGATAGCGTGGTGCAGAATCAAACAGGGCATCTGTAACAGACAGACCATGCTTCTGACCGGCTCTGTGCTCCACAACTGTGAGACCTTGGCCAGAGCGCTACACCCTCTGGGCCTCAGTTTCCTGGTCTCTGTGGTGGGCACACTCCAGGCCTTAATGGACAGGCATAACCTTGCCCACCCTCACTGTCTTCTTGGGCAGACTGAAGCTATCCCAGTGCCTATTTCATGCAGCTCTTTCCTCAGGTATTTGGGGTAACAGTTCTTGAGAAAACATGGCTCGTTAAATTGAAAAGTGCTTCTCCAACTTCCTGGGAAAGAGGATGGCACTAACCCTGTCCAGATCTTCAGAGCCACCGTAAATCACTTCCTTAAAAATCCCAAACTTGTGTGTAATTATGTGACTATGTAATGAAGTCAGAAGTGGGTAGGATTGATTTGTCAGGTGAATTAATCTCCACAGCAAGTGGAGGCACATGGGGGCACGAGGCCTGTCACAGCCTTGTCACCTGCTGCAGGCTTCACTGGCTTCCTGCTCTCAATGCTGTACCTTTTGCCCCCCTGTCCGCTGTCGCACACCCTAGGCACTTCATCGGCCATGCATGAAGGTCCAGTGCACTGTCTCAGGCCGGGTCCTGGGAATAAGATACCAGGCTGAATTCAGCTGGACCTGACCATGGTGCATGCTAGGGTGTGGGTTTGTGTCCAACATTGAAGGGACAGAGGCAGAGCCCTGTGGTCCTGAGGGCCTGGAGGGTGGGGCAGCTGGGCCAGGCCCTATGGAACAAGGCAGGAATGACTCTGGGCATTCAGTCTGCCGAGGATTGCCCCTGATGTATGGCATGGAAATGTTCTCTGGCCGCAGAGGAGCTGGTGCTCCCTTTGTGTCATGCTGCCTGTCTGCTGCCAGCTAGGGCTGGGGGCCTTGTGAAGCACTGAGCATGGTGGGCATGCACCTGTCTGGGCCATCCTTGCAGCAGGGACCTTTACCCTGGGAGGGAATCCTATGCCCTGGCTAAGCAAGTGGGTGTGAGTTGTGCCCCTCGTGGGTTGGAGGAAACAGGTGTGGGATGCCTGTGCCGGGCCTTCTCGTGGGTGTCTGGCCACCCCTGCACCTGCTGAGGCCTGGCTTCCAGAGTTGGAGGGAACTTCACAGAGCAGGCGTGGTTGGGTCTGGGGTCCCAACTGCACCCTGAGCTCTGAGCTGGGCTGGCCAGCAGCTTTGCAAGAGGAACTAGCCCCTTCTACCTGCCAGGTTTGGATTTGAACCCTGGTCCGTATGTCTCCAAGCCTGTTCTTGTTAAAGAACAGGGTGGGCAGAGAGTGGAGTGGTGCCTACCCCGTGGGATAAGGCACCTACCTCTCTGCCAGACTGGAACAAGTATGCACATGTGCACCCTTACACATGTGTGTAGCTGAAGAGAGTCTGAAGGCCACATCAGAGAGCCATGCTTATGAGGGAAGTGCGGCAGGGGGAGCTGTCCTCCTGAGGCCAGGAGGAACAGTTGTGATGAATGAGATTGGGAGGCAACACCATGAGGGCTGTGCCCAGCATCTGTCACTGGATGACTGATTGATTGCCCCATGTGCAGGGTTCAGCCCAACAGTGGTTAGTAATGATTCTCTCTCTCTCTCGTGACATGGTTGGGCCAGGGGAGGTGGGCAGTGTCCCAGGGTGGCCTTACCCTCTGTCCTTGCTACCCTTGAGGTACAAGGCACACACCTTTCCTAAGGGCCCCCCACTGTGGCAAACGTTTAAGAGCCATGGCTGGAGCAGAACGTGAGATGCTGTGGAATGAAGGGGAGCCTGTTCCTGTCCCCTAAGAAGGCATTACATAAGCAGCATCGGGAGTCCTCTTCCTCCGGGGCCTGTCTGCAGTTTCACTGCTTGTCCACATGGGCTCCAGCTCCCATGGCTGACGCTTGCTTGGGGGAGCCTAGGCCTGTGGCCTGGGGGTGCAGTTGAGCCTCCTTACATGGCATAATGTGAATCTAGCCCTGGGCACTAAGCTGAGGCTGAGAGGGTGGCAGGGAACTGCGGGCCTCATCACAGGCTCACAGGGAATGACTGAGGGCCTCAGAATTCCCCACCTGGGCCCTATAGGGAATTGATGGCCAGCTCTGGTCTCTGGCCCCAGGAGGTCAGCCTCAGGTGGCAGAGTGGCAGCCGACTCTGGTGCTGTCCTCTATCCTGGCTCCACCTCTGTTGCACACAGGGGCTTAGTGGGCTGACCAGTGAGGGGTGTGGTCATAGCTGCCAGCCCCTTCTGCTTGCCCATGCTGACTTTGTCCTCTTGCTTTCCTGCTGTATTAGCCCATTTCATACTGCTATGAAGAAATACCTGAGACTGGGTAATTTATAAAGAAAAAGAGGTTAAATGGATTCACAGTTCCACATGGCTAGGGAGGCCTCACAATCATGGCAGAAGGTGAAGGAGCAGCAAAGGCATGTCTTACATGGCAGCAGGCAACAGAACGTCTGCAGGGGAATTGTTCTTTTATAAAACTGTCAGTTCTCATGAGACTTATTCACTATCACAAGAACAACTTGGGAAAAACCTGCCCTCATGATTCAATTACCTCCCACTGGGTGCCTCCCATGACATGTGGGGAATATGGGCACTACAATTCAAGATGAGATGTGGGTGGAGACACAGCCAAACCATATCACCTGCCCTTCCATAGGCCTCGCAGTCTGGTTTTGAACAGAAAAAGAGGTTTAATAGATTCACGGTTCCACATGGCTGGGGAGGCCTGGCTCCCGTCCCCTGGGCCTCTTGGCACTGCTCCCAGGTAGGGCCTTTCCAGGACTGGGCACATTTATGTTGTGGGGATCAGGCCTGCATTCCTCCTTAGAGGAAGAATGATTATTCTCTGTTTAACATAAAGCAAATGGTGTGGCAGCGCCGGGCAGGGCTCTGGAACACCAGCCCCAGTTTTCCCTGTCAATGAGTGGGCATGGGGTAATGCCTTGTCCACACTAAGCCATCTCTGTGAAATGGGCCTGTGACCCTTTCTTCAGCTGCCCAGGCCCAACATCTTGATGCTGTCTTTGCTGCTTCTTCCTCATGCCCCTCATAATTAGTCCATTAGCAGTTCTGACACCATGTGTCTGGATTCTGATTACTTCTCACCACCCCAATGGCTATGTCCCTGGTCTAAGCCATTGCTGGCATCAGCCTCCTGACCTGCCTTCCTGCTTCTCACCTTGCTCCATGCAGCTTGTCATTCTGAGGCAGCCAGAGTGGCCTGTTAAAATTCTAGCTGATCATGTCATTACCCTGCTCAGAGTCTTCCTGTCTCACTGGGGTTATAGCTGGAGTCCCTGTGTGGACAAAGCAGGGCGAACACACTTCCTGGTCTATGAGGGATGGTCCCCACTTATGCCTTTTGTTCCAGAAGAAATATTCGTTCTCAGAATCATCCTGGTTTGCTCTTTGTGAATGCTTATAGCGGCTTTGTTGTAATAACCGCAAACTGGAAACCATCCCAATGTCCTTCAGCTGGTGAATGGATAACAAACTGTGGTACAGCCATACAATGGAATATTATTCAGCATTAAAAAGGGAGTTTGAGACCAGCCTGAGCCCCATAATGAGACTCTGTCTCTACAAAAAAATAAATAAATAAAATAAAATTAGCCAAGCCAGGCATAGTGCATGCCATGTAGTCCCAGCCACTCAGAAGGCTTAGGTGGGAGGATCTCTTGAGCCAAGGAGATTGAGGCTGCAGTGAGCTATGATTGCACCACACTGCACTCTAGCCTGGGTAACAGAGCAGAGTGAGACTCTGTCTCAAAAAAAAAAAAAAAAAGGAATAATGAAAAACAAACCAGGAACAAACTCCTGTTACATACAGCAACATGAGATAATTCTCAAAAGCATATGCTGAGTGACAGAAGCTGCACTCAAGAGGCCTCATACTCCATAATTTCAATTATGTGATGTTCCTGATTGGCAAAACTATAGGGGCAGAAAACTCATTGGTGTTTTCCAGGCCTAGGGATAGGAGGATTCACTACAAAGAGCCATAAGGAATTGCTGTGGGCAATGGAGCTGTTCCGTATCTTGATTATGGTGTTGGTTACATTACTGTCTAAGTTTATAAAACTCATAAGATTATACATTCAAAATAATGCATTTTGCTATGTAAATTACACTTTGATTTAAAAAACAAGTCCTAGTTAGGGTGATAAATTATACGGTCATTCAACCTCTAACATCTTACCTGATTCATCCTCTCTTTGATGTCACCTCCTGCTGCTCCTCTCCTGGATCTGTTATTCCAGCCACCCAGGCTACCTTGCTGTCCCATGAATATGCCAGGTGGACCCCTGCATATGGATCTCTATACTTGTTTTCCTCTCTGCTTGGAAAAATCGACTTCCAGATAGTCACGAGCCCCTTCTCTCTCACTTCCTTAAAGTCTTTACCCAAAAGTCCCCCTATCAGTCACCAGTGACCATTTAATGGTGCATAACAAACAGCCTCAAGTCTCACTGGAATCCAGCATCTCATGCACCCTACAGGTTGGTGGAGGTGCCTCATCCAGGCTGGGCTTGGTGGGCTCTGCTTCCAGCTGTGGGTCTGTTTGCCAGCATCTCGGCAAGGCCAAGATTGGAAGAGCAGCAGCTACCCAAGAGACACTCTCTTTTGGCCATGGCACAAGCACAAGAAGACACGTCCTGCGTGTGCACATTTCAAGCTTTTGCTTGTGCTATGCCAGTTAACATCCCATTGGCTACAGCAAGTCAAGCTGTGCAGTATACGCCACCTACAGGGAGGGGAGTGAATATTACCAATAATCCAAACAGTCCCCATCACCTTCCCAATGAGGGCTTCTCTGACCAACCTGTGAAAACTTTAGCCCCCAGCTTGCCATTTTCTCTCCCTCCTCTCTGCTTTATTGCTTTCCTAACACTCCTGACTGTATAACTTATTATACATTTCATTGATTAATCTTGTTTAGTTTCTGTCTTCCACTCACTGGAGTGTAAGTTTCACCAGAGCACAAGGACATTTATTTGTTTTTTTTTTAATCCTATATCTCCAGCACCTAAGAAAAATGCTCAGTAGATATTTGACTAAATGATTGAATAGGGTTATGCTAAGAATTTATTGAGATGATATATGAGACATGTTTCAAATACAGTCCTGCACACAAGAAGTGCTCGGTAATTGGAGGCTCTTATATTCTACAGCCTGCATGCTGTTGGGAGAGTCAAGGCTCAGTTATGTGTGTGATTACAATACTTTGCACAATAAGCCTTTGAAGCCAGATCTGCTTTAAGTTTGGCTTCAGAGATAAGGCGCTGAGGCATGGAGAGGCTGTTATTTGCCCAGAGTCACTTGGTGAGTCAGGGTCTCTTTGCCCTGAAGCTCATGCACTTCTCCCCATGCTATGCTGCCCCCACACCTTCCTGCATGCTAGTTACCAGGCTCTGGCCTCCTTCCCTGCACCAGCATCCCTGAGGAGTCAAAATAACTGATGATATTAGAGCCCCAGCCCCATGAGGGTGCTGAAGTTGGCCCCAGATACCCCTCCCAGTTATCTGGAAGCCAGTTGCAATGCAGGGCCTCTGGAACACTGAGGGCTGTCCTGTGCCACCCCCAGCCACCAGTGGCCCCTGTGCATGGAGACCCCAGAGAAGCTGCTGTCTGCAGACTCTGAAGCAGTCGGACCCTGAGGATGGACAGATGGCTGGGCCTCTGGTCTAAGGAGATCACAGACACACATGCTCAGGAAAAGCATAGGCCCCTTCTGCCAGGGGAGAGTCACAGAGGGAGGGCTTGATGGATGGGATGTGGGGAAATTTATGAGAGTCATTTCATTTGGTCTGTGACCCTTTATGGATGACATTGGGTTGGAGGAGCCAGACTGTGCTCCAATGTGAAACTTCAGAAAGATGAATTTGACCTTGAGTGGCAGATTCTGCCCTGGTGAAGGGACAAGGGGCCTGGGTCGTGGCTTCTCGGTGCCTTGTACACACATCTGTGAGGGCCCTGCCATGATGATTTTCTTGTAGTGGTGTGTTCGTCTGTTTTCTCTGCCAGACTCTGAACTACTGGTCTCTGTATTTCCAGTGCTCATCAGGATGCTTGGCCCCAACAGCATCTGCATGTGTTTGTGAAATGAAGGATTTATAGAGCAGTCACCATGGGCAGGGTGCTCAGCACCCCTCATCTATGATTCATTTGACTCTTACCTGCCCCAGGAGGAAATTGCTGTTATCCCTGGGGATGGCAGAGCTGGGTTATAGATGTGGACTCAGAACCACTGTGCTACCTTGTCCCCTGAAATTGAAAGAAGTTCTGGTACCAACACTGGTGGTTAGTGGTTATGTGACCCTGGAAAAGCCAGTGTAATCACTTTGGACCTTTGCTTTCTGCTCTGTAAAATGGGGATTACGAATCCCATTAGTCTTACAAAGAAGAGGGTTGTGAAAATCAAACCAGAGTGTGCTTGTGTTGAGTGCTCTTTAGGTCTGAAATTTTATTACTAATATTATTTCAAGTGGGCATCAATGGCAGTCAATAAATAGGGGAGTTGTAGCAGAAGTGTGACAAAAGAGAGGGCTTAGAGAAGCTTAAGTATGACACTGATCATTTCCAGTAGGTAAACGTGCAAAGAACATGATCAAACAAATCACAAGAGGAAATGCAGCTTGTTAGCAAACATATGGAAAACCACTAAAACTTCAGTTGTAATCAAAACAATGCAAATTAAAACAGGATGCCGTTTTTCACCACTCAGTTAAAGAACATGCAGTGCTGGGGAGACTTTGGTAAAATGAACACTTGCCCGTAACCTGGTGGAGATGTTCTGGAAGGTAAATTAGTAATGAGTATCTGGAACTATAAAAATGTTTGTACCTTTTGACCCAGTAATTCAATTTCTAGGAGTCTCTCCAGAGGGATTATTCTAAGGAAGCTTTCTGCATGAAGTTGTTCAAAACAGCTGAATAAAAAATGGGTGATAATCTAAGGAGCCAATGTTAGGGGTGTGGTTAAGGCAATGACAGTATCCAAGTTATAGAGGATCCTGCAGGGACCGATGAGTGCTTGCCAAATCGCATCAGATGACTGTGTAGGCTCTAAGGGAAAAGCAAGACACAAGAATGCACATATTTTATTACAACTATGTAAGATTCTGTAGGGATCTTTGCATAAAGCCAAATATGGAAAGAGGTAAAACAGAAAATGTTAACAATGGTTGTGTGATGGTGGGATGAATATGAGTGATTTAAGATCATCCTTTTAATAGTAAGCATGTACTCCTTTCATATCAGAACCATAATATGGTAACTACATTGACTTGAGGATATAAAAGGAGGCCAGATGCCACTGGAACAGAGGTGCCATGGTTAGCAAAACTGAGTCAAAGAACTACTTATCTTGTGTGGTATTTTTATCTAAAATCCACTTTGTGGAAAACAAAGGGATGATTTCTGAAGATAAGCCATGCTGGAAAATAACCACTCGATTGTATTTTCTTCATGTCTGGAATTTTTTTTTGTTTCACATTTGGTTATTTATTACTGTCTCTTTTTCTCAAGAAGTGATTGGAATGCTTTTCTTCTGTTGAAAAACAAGAGAAAGTTATATTAACTTCAGCCATGATAGATTCACATGCAGTTGAAAGTGGACTTGGCTTTGTCTCACCCTCTTCAGAGATAACCACTGTCAAGAGTTCAATATGTATCTGTCCACCTTTTCCCACATACATGGTGTCATATAGTTATTATTTATTCTTTTTTTAAAACAAAGATTGTGTTATAGTATGCATTTTTTTTTCATTTAGCTATATATCCTGGGCATTTTTCTATTTGAGTTTGTATTAAAGTTCTCCAGATAAAGAGAACCAATAGGATACAGATAGATAGATTATAGATAGATAGATGATAGATAGACAGACAGATAGCTAGATAGATAGGTAGACAGATAGATGGATAGACAGATGGATAGATAGGTGGTAGATAGATAGACGGTAGACAGATGATAGATAGATGAGAGGGGATAAAAGTGTTCCTTTTACCAGTCTCCCCAGCACTGCATGTTCTTTAACTGAGTGGTGAAAAATGGCATCCTCTTTTAATTTGCATTGCTTTGATTACAACTGAAGTTTTAGCAGTTTTCGATATATTTGTTAATCCCCTAATAAATCCTCTCTCATCTATCTATCATCTATTATATATCTATCGTCTGGGATTGGCTCACATGATTATGGAGGCTGAGAAGTCCCATGACAGGCTGTCTTTGAGCCAGAGACATTGGGATGCTGGTAGTGTGGCTCAGTCCAAGTCTGAAGGTCTTAGGACCAGTGAAGTGGATGGTGTCACTCACACTTTAAGGCCAAAGGCCTGAAGACCAGGGGGCCACTGGGGTAAGTACTGGAGTCCAAAGGCTGGGAAGCCTGGAGTTGTTGCCCAAGGACAGTCCCTTTGAAACTAAGACCTCTAGGCCAGCAGAGCATAAAGTTGCAGTAACAGGAAGCAAAAATTTTGCTAGTGGGTCACTTGGGGTAATGGTAAGTGGTGCCACTCCCATTTCCATCCCTTGATTCCTGGACCCGTGAATCCTGGCTACGGAAGAAACAGTACCACATACTGGGTGCTGATTTAGAGCATATACAGCCTTCTGGAGAATGTTGTCCCAGCTCTGCAAGGTACTGTCACCTAGCTGGTGGTGTAACTAAGTATTTAGAAGGCTATCCCATCATTCTGTCAAGCTGGCTGCTTCAAGATGATGGGTAACATGGTAAGACCAGTGAATTCCATTAGCATGAGCCCACTGCCACACTTCTTTGGCTGTGAAATGAGTTTCCTGGTCAGTAGCAATGCTGTGTGGAATACTGTGACAGAGGATAAGTCCACGGATGGTAGCTTTTGCAGAAGCATTGTGTGCAGGCATAGCAAATCCGTATCTGGACTAAGTGGCTATTCCAGTAAGGGCAAAATGCTGCCACTTCTCTGATGGAAGTGGTCCAGTATAATTAACTGGTTGAGCAAGATTGTGCCTTTAATGGAGATAAAACTATGGAAACATTTGTGGGGCTGGAACAGTCTGTGGTTGTGGGCAACTCCTTCAGCCATTATTTCTTTTTTTTCCATAAGTTATTGGGGTACAGGTGTTATTTGGTTACATGAATAAGTTCTTTCGTGGTGATTTGTGAGATTTTGGTGCACCCATCATCCATGTATACACTGCACCATATTTGTAGTCTTTTATCCCTTGCCCCCTCTCACTCTTCCCCCCAAGTCCCCAAGGTCCATTGTATCATTCTTGTGGCTTTGTGTCCTCATAGCTTAGCTCCCACATATCAGTGAGAACATATGACATTTGGTTTTCCATTTCTGAATTACATCACTTAGAATAATAGTCTCCAGTCTCATCCAGGTCACTGCAAATGTTGTTAATTCATTCCTTTTTATGGCTGCATATATATACTACAGTTTCTTTATCCACTCATTGATTGATTGGCATTTGGGTTGGTTCCATGATTTTGCAATTGTGAATTGTGCTGCTATAAACATGTGTGTGCAAGTATCTTTTTCGAGTAATGACTTCTTTTCTTCTGTGTAGAAATCCAGTAGTTCGATTGCTGGATCAAATGGTAGTTCTACTTTTAGTTCTTTAAGGAATCTCCACACTGTTTTCCATAGTGGCTGTACTAGTTTACATTCCCACCAGCAGTGTGGAAGTGTTCCCTGTTCACCACATCTGCGCCAACATCTACTTTTAAAAAAATTTTTTTTTATTATGACCATTCTTGCAGGAGTAAGGTGGTATTGCATTGTGGTTTTGATTTGCATTTCCTTGATCATTAGTGATGTTGAGCATTTTTTTGATATGTTTGTTGGCCATTTGTATGTCTTCTTTTGAGAATTGCTTATTCATGTCTTTAGCCCACTTTTTGATGGGATTGTTCATTTTTTTTTCTTACTGATTTGTTTGAGTTTGTTGTAGATTCTGGATATTAGTCCTTTGTCAGATGTATAGATTGTGAAGATTTTCTCCCACTCTGTGGGTTGTCTGTTTATGCTGCTGACTGTTCCTTTTTCCATGCAAAAGCTCTTTAGTTCAATTAGTTCCCAGCTTTTTATCTTTGTTTTTATTGCATTTGCTTTTTTATTCTTGGTCACGAAATCCTTGCCTAAGCCAATGTCTGGAAGAGTTTTTCCAATGTTATCTTGTAGAATTTTTATAGTTTCAGGTCTTAGGTTTAAGTCCTTAATCCATCTTGAGTTGATTTTTGTATAAGGTGATAGATGAGGATTCAGTTTCACTCTCCTCCTGTGACTAGCCAATTATCCCAGCACCAATTGTTGAAAATGAATTAGGGAGGTTTTCTTTCCCCACTTTATTTTTTTGTTTGCTTTGTCAAAGATCAGTTGGCTGTGAGTATTTGGGTTTATTTCTGGTTTCTCTATTCTGTTCCATTGGTCTATGTGCCTATTTTTATATCAGTACCATTCTGTTTTGGTGGCTATGGCCTTACAGTATAGTTTGAAATCAGGTAATGTGATGCCTCCAGATTTGTTCCTTTTGCTTAGTCTTGCTTTGGCTATGTGGACTCTTTTTTGGTTCCACATGAATTTTAGAATTTTTTTTTTTTTTCTAATTCTGTGAAGAACGATGGCGGTATTCTGATGGGGATTGCGTTGAATTTGTAGATAGCTTTTGGCAGTATGGTCATTTTCACAATATTGATTCTACCCATCCATGAGCATGGGATGTTTTTCCATTTGTTTGTGTCGTCTGTGATTTCTTTCGGCAGTGTTTTCCTTGTAGAGGTCTTTGACTCCTTTGTTAGGTATATTCCTCAGTATTTTATTTATTTTTTGCAGCTATTGGAAAAGGGGTTGAGTTCTTGATTTGATTCACTGATTGGTTGCTGTTGGTGTATAGAAGAGCTATTGATTTGTGCACATTAGTCTTGTATCTGGAAACTTTGCTCAATTCTTTTATCAGTTCTAGGAGCTTTCTGGAGGAGTCCTTAGGGTTTTCAAGGTAAATGATCATATTGTCAGCAAACAGTGACAGTTTGACTTCCTCTTGACCGATTTGGATGCCCTTTATTTCTTTCTCTTGTCTGATTGCTCTGGCTAGGACTTCCAGTACTACGTTGAAAAGGAGTGGTGAGAGTGGACATCCTTGTCTTGTTCCAGTTCTCAGAGGGAATGCTTTCAACTTTTCCCCATTCAGTATTATGTTGGCTGTGGGTTTGTCATAGATGGCTTTTATTACATTAAGGTATGTCCCTTGTATGCTGATTTTGCTGAGAGTTTCAATCATAAAGCGATGCTGGATTTTTGTTAAATGCTTTTTCTGCACCTATTGAGATGATTGTGTGATTTTTATATTTAATTCTGTTTATGTTGTCCATCACATTTATTGACTTGCATATGTTAAACCATCCCTGCATCCCATTTATGAAACCCACTTGATCATGGTGGATTATCTTTTTGATATGTTGTAGGATTTGGTTAGCTAGTATTTTGTTAAGATTTTAGCATCTATGTTCATCAAGGATATCGGTCTGTAGTTTTCTTTTTTGGTTACGTCCTTTCCTGGTTTTGGTATTAGAGTGATGCTGGCTTCAAAGAATGAATTAGGGAGGGTTCCTTCTTTGTCTTTCTTGTGGAATAGTGTCAGAAGGATTGATGCCAATAATTCTTTGATTTCTGGTAGAATTCTGCTGTGAATCCGTCTGGTCCTGGACTTTTTTTTGTTGGTAATTTTTACCATTTCAATCCCACTGCTTGTTGTTGATCTGTTCAGGGTATCTAATTCTTCCTGGTTTAAGCTAAGATGGTTGTATTTTTCCAGGAATTTATCCATCTCTTTTAGGTTTTCTAGTTTATGTGCATAAAGGTGTTCATAGTAGCCTTGAATGATCTTTTGTATTTCAGTGGTATCAGTTGTAATATCTACTGTTTTGTTTCTTAGTGAGGTTATTTAGATTTTCTCTCTTCTTGGTTAATCTTGCTAATGGTCTATTAATTTTATTTATCTTTTCAAAGAACCAGCTTTTTGTTTCATTTGTCTTTTTTTTTTTTCAGTTTCATTTAGTTCTGCTCTGATCTTGGTTATTTTCTTTCTGGGTTTGGTTTGTTCTTGTTTCTCTAGTTCCTTGAGGTGTGACCTTAGATTGTCTGTGCTCTGTCAGACTTTTTGATGTAGGCATTAAGGGCTATGAACTTTCCTCTTAGCACCGCCTTTGCTGTATCCCAGAGGTTTTGATAGGTTGTGTCATTATTGTCATTCAGTTTGAAGAATTTTTTAATTTCCATGTTGATTTTGTTTTCAAACCAATGCTCATTCATGAGCAGGCTATTGAATTTCTATGGATTTGCATGGTTTTGAAGGTTCCTTTTGGAGTTTATTTCCAGTTTTATTCCACTGTAGACTGGGAGAGTGCTTGATATAATTTGAATTTTCTTAAATTTATTGAGACTCATTTTATGGCCTATCATATTGTCTATCTTGGAAAAAGTTCCATGCGCTGTTGAATGTGTATTCTGCGGTTGCTGGATTGAATGTTCTGTATATATCTGCTAAGTCCATTTGTTCCAAGGTATAGTTTAAATCCATTGTTTCTTTGTTGACTTTCGGTCTTGATGACCTGTCTAGTGCTGTCAGTGGAGTATTGAAGTCCACCACTATTATTGTGTTGCTGTCTATCTCATTTCTTAGGTCTATTAGTAATTGTTTTATAAATTTGGGAGCTCCAGTGTTAGCTGCATGTATGTTTAGGATTGTGATATTTTCCCATTGGACAAGGCCTTTTGCCATTATACACTGTCCCTCCTTGTCTCTTTTAGTTGCTGTTGCTTTAAAGCTTGTTTTGTCTGATATAAGAATAGCTACTCCTGCTCGCTTTTGGTGTCCATTTGCATGAAATGCCTTTTTCCACCCTTTAAGTTTATGTGAGTCTTTATGCACATAAAGGTTTGGTCATTTAACATAATCCCAGACTTCTTGGCAGCTTTGTTCATATTTTCTTAGTCTTCTATCTTTGTCTTTGTTGGATTGGGTTAATTCAAAGACCTTGTCTTCAAGCTCTGAATTTGTTTCTTCTACTTTTTCAGTTCTATTGCTGAGACTTCCCAGAGCATTTTGCATTTCTAGAAGTGTGTCCAAAGTTTCCTGAATTTTTTTTCTTTAAGCTAACTATTTCCATGAATACTTCTCCCTTCATTTCTTGTATCATTCTTTTGTATTTCCTTGCATTGGGCTTCACCTTTCTCTGGTCCTTCCCTGATTAGCTTAATAACTAAGCTCCTGAATTCTTTTTCAGGTAAATCTGGGATTTCTTCTTGGTTTGGATCCATTGCTGGTGAACTAGTGTGATTTTTTTGGGGGTGTTGAAGAGCCTTGTTTTGTCATTTACCAGGGTTGGTCTTCTGGTTCCTTCTCATTTGGGTAGTCTGTCAGAGGGAAGGTCTAGGACTTAAGGCTGTTGTTCAGATTCTTTTGTCCCATGGGGTGTTCCCTTGATGTAGTACTCTCCCCCTTTTCCTGTGGATGTGGCTTCCTGTGAGCCGAACTACAGTGATTGCTGTCTGTCTTCTGGGTCTAGCTACCCAGCGAGTCTACCCGGCTCGGGGCTGGTATTGGGGGTTGTCTGCACAGAGTCCTGTGATGTGAACTGTCTGTGGGTTTCTCAGCTATGGATACCAGCAACTGTTCTGGTGGAGGTGGCAGAGGGTGCAGTGGACTCTGTGAGATTCCTTAGCTTTGGTGGTTTGATGCTCTATCTTTGTGCTGGTTGGTCTCCTGCCAGGAGGTGATGCTTTCTGGAAAGCATCAGCTGTAGCACTGTGGAGAGGGACCGGTGCTAGGCGGGGCTCTAGAACTCCCAAGGTTATATGTCTTTTGTCTTCTGCTACCAGGGTAGGTAGGGAAGGACCATCAGGTGGGGGCGGGGCTAGGCGTGTCTGAGCTCAGACTCTCCTTGGGCCAGTCTTGCTGTGGCTGCTGTGGGGGATGGGGGTGAGATTCTCAGGTCACTGCAGTTGTGTACCTAGGAGGATTATGGCTGCCTCTGATGAGTTATGCAGGTTGTCAGGGAAGCGGGAGAAAGCTGGCAGTCACAGGCCTCACCCAACTCCCACGCAAACTGAAGGGCTGGTCTCACTCTCACGGTGCCCGCCACAATAGCCCTGAGTCTGTTTCCAGGCAGAGTGCGAGATGGGCTTGAAAATTTGCCCAAGGCTATCTGCCTCCCACCTGGGAGAGAAAAGGGCTTGGTTCTTGCCCAGCCTGTGAAGTCTGAACACCAGATTTGTGCCCTTCCCCAAGTTCTGGCCAGGAGTCTTCTCACCCCGCTCAAATTGTTAAAAAGTTCAGCTAGAGAATTCCTTCTCCCTGTGGAGTTTTACCCCCTGCTTCTCTGTCTGCCATCCTGATGGATCCCTGTGGTTCCAGGAAGGAATGGGCTACTAGGGGACCCAGTGAGCTCCCAGGGCCTTCTGCTGCTTCCTATACCCCTGTATTTCACTCGGTCCTCTAACTTGATTCAGCTCCAGGTAAAGGCGGAAACTTCTCCCACAAACAGACCTTCAGCTTCTCCAGTGGGGGTGTGTTCAGGAGAGGAGGGTCTCCCTTTCCCACTTCTGGAGTTGGGATATTCACAGTATTTGGGGTGTCTCTTGGGTCCTGCAGAAGCAGTTTGCTTCCTTCAGAGGGTCTGTGGGTCCTCTCGGAATTGCTGGTTTGTTCTTGGAGTCAATCTGGAGCTAAAATTCACAATGCAAGCCTCTGTATTGCTCTGTCTAGACCTGCAGTCTTGACCTGCCTCCTGTCTGTCATGTTTCCCTGTAGCCATTATTTCTTCAAGTACTTTTTCAGCCCCATCTTCTTTCTCCTTTCCTTCCAGGACTCCAATGACACAAATGTTAGATCTTTTTTTTTTTTCATAGTCTCACAGGTTCCTGAGGCTATGTTCATTTTTTTAAAATTTCAGTCTATTCTGTCTCTGTTGTTTAGACTGGGTAATGTATATTATTATATCTTTTTATTTTTTATTTTTTAAGACACAGTCTCACTGTGTTGCCCAGGTTGGAGTGCAGTGGTGTGATCTCAGCTCACGGCAACCTCTGCCTCCCAGGTTCAAGAAGTTCTCCCAAGTAGCTGGGACTACAGGTGTGCACCACCATGCCCACTATTTTTTTTTTTTTTGGCATTTTTAGTAGAGATGGGATTTCTCCATGTTGCCCAGGCTGGTCTTGATCTCTTGGCCTCAAGTGATTCCCCCACCTCGACCTCCCAAAGTGCTGGGTTTATAGGCGTCACCACCAGGCACGGCCATATCTTTTAGTCACTGATTCTTTCTGCTGTCTCCTCTTTCAACTGAGCTTTATTTTTGGTTATTGTATTTTTTAGTTTTAAAATTTCCAGGCTGGGCACGGTGGCTCACACCTGTAATCCCAGCACTTTGGGAGGCCAAGGCAGGTGGATCACCTGAGGTCAGGAGTTCAAGAGCAGCCTGGCCAACATGGCGAAACTCCATCTCTACTAAAAATACAAAAATTAGCCAGGTGTGGTGGCGTGTGCCTGCAGTCCCAGCTACTTGGGAGGCTGAGGCAGGAGAATCACTTGAACCTGGGAGGTGGAGGTTGCAGTGAGCCGAGATCACGCCATTGCACTCCAGCCTGGGTGACAAGAATGAGACTCCGTCTCAAAAAAAAAAAAAATTTTTTTTTGTTTGGTCCTTCTTTATATATTGTATTTCCTTGCTGAGATTTTCTTTTTTCATTTGGTTCAAATACATTTGCAATTGCCCATGGAAGCATTTTTATGCTAGCTGTTTAAAAATTTTTGTCAGATTGTTCTTTATGATTTCATCATCTCAGCGCTGGAATCTATTGATTGATTCAGTTTGAGTTCTTCCTGGATCTTTGTGTGAATAGTGATCTTCATTTGAAACCTGGAAATTCTGGGGAATTACGTTATGAGGCTCATGGGTCTTCCTTACGCCTTCTGTTTTAGCTGGTTTCTTCTGATACTACTCTGGTGAGGGGGTTGCTGTCTCATTATTGTCAAATGAGGGTTCCAGGTTCCAAATGAAGTCCAGGTTCTCCTCTTGGTTTCCTTTGAAACCTGAGGTGGAGGTTCTGTGTTGCTGCTGGGAAGATGTGGAAGTTCTGGCTCCCTACTGAAGCCACCACTGACCCTTCCCTGGCTGGGAGAAGTAGGGATGCATCGTTACTGCTCCCCAGATGGCCTTCACTGACACCATGTAGGGGGGCGGTGTGTTTGTGAACTCTTTATGGCAGTGGTATAAATTCTGACTCTATACTAAACCCTTTTGGATATGACCCAGCTGGGCAAATGGGGACTTCATTTCAGCCTGGTGAAGATGGGGAGTCTGGGATCTGCACTCGGGCTTTGCTGGTGTTGGGGAGGTGAAACCGCACTTCCTTTCTGGAGTGTTTGGCTGGAGTGTGGTGGCAATTATCTGAAAGTTTTCTGTCTTGGTAGCCTACCCCTTTCCTGGACCTTTGGCTAGATAGAGCAGGACTTCTGTTGATAGCATTTTTTTTTTTGCCTGCATCTATTGATCTTTCTGGGTTGCTGAGTTTTCTGCTGCAAGTCTGCAAAATATGAGGCAAAAAGAAAACTCCAGACCTCAACATCATGTCATTCCTCAGGTCCTGAGGTCCTGAGCTGGTCTGCCTTCTTCTCTTCATTGAATAATCCCCAGACTCTTCTTATGTTTGTTTTCTGTACAATGTTTGGGCTTTTTAGTTGTACTTAGTGGGGAGAATAAGGAAAAAGTATGTCTACTCCATTTCCCTGGGAGCAGAAGTCCCCACTCTGGCCTGCCCTCAACCATGAACCCCCAAAGTTTTCATCTGAAGTTCCTCCCAGCAATCTCTAATTTGCCCTGGAGAAGTGGAGTCACTGTTTCAGAGCTGGGATCCCCATGCTCTCTGGGACGTGACAGCTGTTCTTTAAGCAGAGAGATACAAAATTAGTCAAAGTACAGTTGCTCATTTTTCAAACATGTTTAATGACAGAATACATTTGCATGCTAAACAAGTATATCTGGATTCTAAGAAAGTAAGGAATCTCAAGTGGGGGATATTTATTTAGTTCTGAATTAACAGATGTGATCTCTCTCTCTCTCTCTATCCCTCTCCCTCTCTCTCTTTTCCTTCTTATTTACCTTTTATCCCATTGTTGTCTTTTAATTAAACAATTCCTTCACAGGATGTTCCTTCATTGAGAATTATTAAAGATGTAAGCCTTCCTTTATCAAACAGCGGGCTGTGTTAATTATTGTATAGACTTTACATTTGGCTCTGGGGAAACTTGAGAATTGGGTGAGAGAAGGTGCTTCATTAATTGGTTGAGCAAGATTGTGCCTTTAATGGATACAAAGCCACGGAAGCGTTTGTGGGGCTGGAACAGTCCGCGGTTGTTGGCGAGGACAGAGGCGGCCAGTGTTGGGAGCTCTGCAGACAGTTCCTGCTTCTGCACTGACTGTAGGACGTGCTCTGCATAAGCAGATAGAGGACAGAGGGGGTGGGGAGGAACTAGCACTATAGGGGCCTGACCCAGAGCTGGTGGCTGCACCACCATCCTGAGCAGAGCCATGAAAACTTAGGCTGCCTTTGCACGGTGGGGTCTCAGTGGTTGCGGGCTGGGAGGGAGGTGGGCCAGCAGCCATGTGGTAGAGAATGGGAGCTTCTCCCTTGTGCTATCTGTGCTGGGCTGCACATCTCTGTGATACTGGGAGATTGTGTGGACAGGGACCCAAGGGTGTTCTGAGCTTTCCTTCTGTTAATGAACAAATTAGTTGGTTGTGATTATTGGACACATAGGAGTGGCCAGTGAAGGAAAACAGAAAGAGCTGGCCTGGTCTCTGTCTTGTCAGTTTTCACTCTGGAGGGGAGGCAGAAAACACACACACACACACACACACACACAGACACACACACACACTTGGATCTTCTTGTAGAGACACAGGTATAAACAGTCTCAGGAACAACCTATCACAACAGGTCTGTACACACACATACACAGACACCCCGGACACACACACACAGACTCCATTATGCAGACACTCACAACACACACACACACACACACACACACAAACACACTCAAACCCACATGTACATTCATGCCATATACTGGCATACTAACATATTACACACAGACACATAGATGCTCAGACACAAGAGCTCCCCCGACAGACACACAGACACACACACATCCATCCATCTTCTAATATAGAGGTGAGCATAGAGGCAGGATGGAGAAGACCCAGATGGGAAGTGTGTATAAGTGTGTATAGCCATTACAAAGGAATCAGAAGCTTGTATTGGTTCCATGCCCCATGCCTTCCATGTAAATACATTCATTTTTTAACCCTAAACTATTGGTAATTTTGTCTCTAGAGACTCAGGTGTGTTCATTCCTTTGACATACACAGGCAAGAAAGCAAAGGAACTTAAAACAACGACAGTGCATGTATGTACAGCTCTTGAGTTTGCAATTAGTTCAGCCAACTTTTACTGATGCTCAACTGCAGGCCCTGTGGAATGTCCTGGGCATACAGCTGTGAAAAAGATGAGCTCCTTCTGTTCCATGAGCTCCTGGACTTTCAAAGTGAAGTCATGTTCAGGAGCCTGGGGGCACTGACACACACTCACACAAACACCAACACACACTGTCCACACACATATATCTGTGCACATATGCACACACACAGACACTTGCACACAAGTACACACCTGCACATGCCCATGCACACACATGGACACTTGTGCACACTCCTGCACATATACATGCACACACATGCTTGCACACACACACACTTGCGCACACAGGCACACTCAATTGTTTCATTTGCTTATAACCCCCTGTGGGTTCTGCAGAACCCTCAGACAGGTGTGGCTTTGAGTCCCAGCCCTGTCGCTGACTATCTGTGTGATGGTGGCACTCAGTCTCCCTGGGCTCGCTTTCCTCATCTGTAGGGTGGGAACAGTCGTTCCTATTTAAAAGCAATCTCCTGATAGATCCAATAAAACAATGGGTGCGGAAGTGTTTGGCAGATCATATTCATCTGTTCATCCATTCTACAAATATTTTTGACTCCTAAGTGTCTAGTGCCAAATCTGGGTGCCAGGCCAAAAATAACAGACAAGAGCAGACCCCAGCCCTCATGGAACCACAAAGTAGAAGGAGGAGAGACAGTAAATGAATAAACAGAGATGGTATAAGTGGAGCAGACAATTGTGGAGGGTGGTGAGTTCTGTGGCAGGAAGGAGCCAAGGGATGTGATGGAGAATAGCTAGGTGGTCAGGGAGGGCTTCTTGGGGGTGGTGATTTGAGCTGAAGCCTGAAGGAAGAGCATAGGTCAGCCCTGGGGACATGGGGAACAGCACTCTGATGGGAAGGGACAGTGAGTGCAAAGGACTAGAGGCTCCAAAGAGTTTGGTGAGCTTGAGGAACAGAAAGGCCCAGCTGGGCTGGGGTGTGGAGACCTGAGAAAAGAATGGGCTGAAGCAAGCTCGGGATGCTGGGCAATGCCCAGGCCATGGGTCCCGATGGCAGTGGGAGAGCCTGGGTTCTGCTCTTGGGGCTCGGTGAGTATCAGAACTCTTCCTAATTCCCCAGCCTGTTCCTGGTTTGATGCCACGGGCTGTGGGATCAGCAGGGACCTTCGGACTGATGTCCCCTGCCTGCAAGTCCTGAAGACCCCTGGGATCCCCAGGGATATGGAGACCATTGGATGGAGGTGACAGCTCTGAGCTGCCACCTGCCTTCCTGGTGACCAGGAAATAAAGGAGATGTTCCCTGTGACTGTCCATTTCATTCTGTGAGAAGACTCAACTTTATTTACTTTGTTCCTAGGGGTCAGGCAGGAGGTTACCTTTGAGGGTATTCATCTTCCCCACCCAGGTCCCTGGAGCACCAGGACTCTTGGAGAGTACAATTGGGAGAGTACACATGTCTCAGCCGGCCCAACCAGCTGTGCTCTCTCGACCTTTCCTGCTTTCATGCCTGTTTTCCACATTTTCTCACACTTGCCTGCATCTGCCAGTTCCACCCTAACTTCTTGCCCTTGGGTGCCTGCGCCGTCCTTCTGAGGCTGGCACTGGAGGTCCACGGAATGGCAGTGGCAGGGCAGAGCCCCTGTGGGCAGGCAGACACTGGCTGAGCCCCGAAAGCCCAGGGAAACAAGCCGAGGACCCAAGGTTCCAGGCTGCCTCTCCAGCTATTCCTGGAGGGGTTTTTCCTGCTCACTCCAAAGGTAGGTGTCTCTGCCCTCCCATGTCTGGGGCTCATCGAAGCAGTGAGAGAGAGGCTTATCACGGGGGTTTCTTCCTGAAATGCTCTTCCCTGGAAACTCCTCTTCTTTCTTTATTTGTTTAAATATACATTGCATGCGTATTGGTAAAATACATAACATAAGATTTACCACGTTAACCATTTTTAGGGCATTAGGTACATTTTCAGTGTTGTGCAACCATCACCACCATCCGTTTCCAGAACTTTTTTATTAGCCCAAACTGCAACTTTGTACCCATGAAACAATAACTCCCCATTCCTCCCTCCCCTCAGTCCCTGGAAACCACCATTCTACTTTCTGTCTCTGTGAATTTGACTGCTCTACATAACTCATGTAAGTGAGATCATACAGTATTCTGTTGTGAGCGGCTTACTGCACTTAGCATAATGTTCTTAAGAGTCATTCATGTTGTAGCATATGTCAGAATTTCCTTCCTTTTTAAGGCTAAGTCATATTCATTGCATGGATAGACACCATTTTGTTTATCCATTCATTAATCCGTCAATGGACACTTGAGTTGTTTTAGCTATTGTGAATAATGCTGCTGTGAAAGTAGGTGTGCAAGTATCTCTTTGAGACCCTGCTTTCACTTATTTTGGGTATATGTTCAGTGTTGAATTGCTAGATCATAGGGTATTTCTATTTTTAACTTTTTGAGGAATTGCCGTACTGTTTTCTACAGCAGAATTTTTATTGATAGAAATTTTACATTTCTGTCAATAGTGCATAAGGGTTCCAATTTCTTCACCTCCTCAACAATACGTATTTTCTTTCTTTTTCTCCCTTCCTCTCTTCCTCTCTCCCTCCCCTCCTTCCTTCCTTTCTTTCTTTTGATAGTAGCCATCCTAATGAGTATAAGGCCTCCTCATTTTTAAAGACACAGGTCAGTCATCACCTCTTCCAGGAAGTCTTCGGTGGTGCTCACAGCCTGGCTGGGCACCTAGGGCGCCTCCTTCAGTGCCCTAGGCTTCCCTCGATTGCATTTGTGTGTGTACCTACTACCCCGTCACTGCTTTGTGAGTCCCGAGGGACACACCAGATATTCAGTGCATGTCCTTCCTGCCATGCCAGGGCCTGATCACAGGAGGCACACAGGACATCTTTGTGGAGTGGATGCACAACAACCAGACCGAGGCTGATGTCCAGCAGGGACTCCGGATGCAGTGAAAGAAGCCTCGCCCCTTCCCTTGGGACACCTGGAAAGCTTTTTGTGGGTGTGGGTGCAACCCTAGAAAGCAGCCTCCTGTTGCTGCAAAGTCTCATGGCTGAAAACACGCAAGTACAACTTACGAGCTGAACTGGAGTTTGGTGTGCACTGGATTGGGGTATTCAGGTGGAAAGCTGCCTGCAGGGTGCATGCTGAGTGGAGGTCATTGGCTGTGTTGGCCAAGGTGACCTGATTCCTGAAGGTAATGCTGGCAGATTTATCATTCTTCTTCCTAGGGATGAAGATAGCGACATAACTTATATTCCTTGTGATTTAATGACAGACCCTTCATTTCTCAGAACGGACCAGAGACTTGGATCTGAAGATAGGATGGACTTTTACTATCACTTGGAAAAGGAATATAAGTTGTAGTTGTTCCCCATCGCTTCGTGCAATGTCCGCTTCTGAAACAAGATTTAAGGATCAGACTTCTTGACAACAGTTGTCTCATGACAGCGAGGAGCGAAATTCACTGGCTGCGGTTGAGACCAACTGTGTGTCACATTGTGCAAAACCACCATGCACTTCACTGCTGTTCTACAGCAGCACAGGAGATAGCATGAGCGACACCACGCTGGGCTTAGAAGATGGAAACGATGGCATGGAGCTCCCAGGTGGCCACACACTCAGGGACAAGTTCTCCCCGCCAGTCCTCAACCGCTACGAGAGCCCTGGTACCCTTCTAAGAAAGGGCATCTCCCAATAAGTGATGCTTTAGATACAACTGCATGAGAATATAATGTTCAAGGGGAGAAGAAAATGCTGCTTTGAATTCCAAGTTCAGATGGGAGCCAGGCCACGTGACATTTCAGTCCACTTGCACTCACCTGTTCACTCAGTCATTTCACAGACTTTACTGAGCCCCCACTATGTGTCTGGCTTTGTGCTGGGTGTAGTGACAAAGATGAGCAATGTGACATCTTTCATCCTCCAGAAACTCTTGGTCTAGTGGAGTGAAAAGGCAGACAATTCCTTGCAGGAATAGAAACAGAAACCCAGAGCTGAGATCATCAGCTGCTTCCACCCGCTCTGTCCTTGCCTGCTGGGAACACACTACAAAGGAGGAAACATTTGAGCCACATTTCAGAGAATGGAAGCAAAGAAAGGGGGCAGGACAGTGCAGGCAGAGGGGACAATCTGTACACAGGTGCAGAGTCATGGTTTGGGCAGCACTGAGTGGTGGGGCAGAGGGAGGCGTAGGGTGGGGACTTGAGGTTGGAGAGTCAGCTTTGGCCTGGGGGGCTAAAAAGTTTTTGTGGGTTGTGTGAAGGAGCCTGTGCTTTATCCTGTGGGAAACGGGGCACCTCCAGAACTTGGGAAGAGGGGCAGTGGCCCTGTTGGATGAGTTTTCTTTGAGGCTGTCTCTGGCAGTAACATGGGGATGGGTTGGAGTCTGAGGGACCAGTTAGAAGTTATTGCAATGGCCCAGGTGAGAGATGATGAGGACAGGGTGCAGGGGAATTTCCAAGGAGGCATGCTTGCCTAGAGCAACCACAATTTTGCTTAAACCCAACTCCCTCCCTGCTCTGCACCTGCCGCTGCCCCTGGGCAATGGAATGCTGTTGGCAGAAAACACATAGCCAGGCTGCAACTGGCCTCTAGGAACTCCACCTGCCCTCAAATGGGTCCTTCATGCTGCAGGATTATTCTACTGCACTGCCCAGGGCTATTTATATCACGTGTTCCCTCCCCTCAAACCTCTGAAACTGCTTCTTCTGTAGTTACGTCTTGCTATTATTTTTCCTTTTTTGAGAAAATTAAGGGACTTTACTTTTTAAAGCAGTTTCGTGTTTACAGAAAAATTGAGGAAAAAGTACAGTGAGATCCATGTAACTGCCTCACTTTCCCCCAATTTCCTCTATTATTGATATCTTGAATTAATGTGGTATAATTGTTACAACCAATAAAGCAATATCTGTACATTCTTATTAACAAAGTTCATAGTTCACATTAGGATTCACTCTTTGGTGCTGTAAATGTTATGGGTTTGGACAAATGTGTAATGACATAAGTTCACCATTATTAGTAGTATGCAGAATAATATCACTGCCCTGAAAATGCTCTGTGCTCTGCCTATTCATAGGCAACCACTGATTCTTTTACTCTCTCTATAGTTTTGCCTTTTCTAGAATGTCATATGGTTGGAATCATATAGTATGTCGCCTTTTCAGATTGGCTTCTTTCACTTAGCAATATGCATTTAAGTTTCCTCCGTGCCTTGTCATGGCTTGATAGCTCATTTATTTTTAGTGCTGAATAATATTCCATTGTCTGGATGTGCCACAGCTTATTCATTCACTTACTGAAGGACATTTTAGTTACTTTCACATTTTGGCAATTGTGGACAAAGCTGCTATAAACACAATGACTTTGCTTTTTAATTTACTGAGAAAACGGGAATGATGAGGGCAGAGCTGATCTGTGCATTCACTGCCATGTCTATCAGCTTCCATCGTCTGTGGCCATGAGCCTCCTCTTCTGTCTGATGTTGAGCAGAAACACCGTGTGCTCCTTCTAAAGGCAACCCCTTGGATACTAGAAATAATTCCCTGTCACCTACATAAGGGTGGAATTCTTGCATTGTCAGTTTCTCCTTTTCAAATGGATCATATCAGTCAGCTCTCAGGCACACTGTAATACCCACCATCTCTGCACGGCCCTCTTTGCATCCATTTTCATCCCCAGCCCCATTTCTCTGCTCCTCTTTGAGCAAAACTCTTCAAAATAGTTAACCTTGTCTTGAACTCCTGGGCCAGCCTGGGCGACAGAATGAGACCATCACAAAATAATAATAATAATAATGAGATAGTTACCTTTACTTGCTGTTTCCACTGCAGCTCTTCCCATTCTCTCAGGAACCCCTCTGCAGCAGATGCTGGCAGTGATCACCGCCCATCCTCCTCCTCTCCCTTGTCAGTGGGCTCTGCAGCATCTGCCTCTCTGTGTCTGGGGCTTTTTCTGGAACCTTAAAGGCCATGTTTTGCTTGCACTCAGAGCAGGTTGGAAGTGAGGGAATTAGTCTACCTGGGAGCATTCTTCAATCAGAGATGGTTGGAGTTGGTGTGTAGATACCCTGTCCCCTGTCCCTTGGTGGTAAAATCTGGCGGTCCAAATTCTGCATTGTTTCCCTACTAGAGGAAGCTCCAGTCGTCTGTGTGGAGATTTCTTAGTGTGCTGCTTTTCCTTCCCACTTGCCTAATCCCCCCAGTTTTCCCTGCGTAGCACAAATGTACCTCTTGCACTTGACTCCTTGTGTCAGAGTTTGCTTCTGGGGACTCCCACTCAGACACTCCACTCTCCAATCAGGAGGATGCCGGGCATCCTACAGATGTTGCTCCTGGGGGCCAAACCTAGTGGTGAAAAACCCTGGGCTTCATCTTACTCCATTTCTTCCTTTTTTCCTTCCTTCCTTCTTTCTTTCTCCTTTCCCCTTTTCCCTTTTCCCTTTTCCCTTCCCTTCCCTTCCCTCCCCTCCCCTCCCCTCCCCTCCCCTCCCCTCCCCTCCCCTCCCCTCCCCTCCCCTTCCCTTCCCTTCCCTTCCCTTCCCTTTCCTTTCCTTTTTCTCTCTCTTTTTTTGTCTCTCTCTCTCTTTTATTTTTTCCACATAGCCTTGCTCTGTTGCCCAGGCTGGAGTGCAGTGGCACGATCTTGGCTCACTGCAACCTCTGCCTCCCGGGTTCAAGCAATTCTCCTGCCTCAGCCTCCTGAGTAGCTGGGATTACAGGTGTGTGCCACCACGCCCAGCTAATTTTTATATTTTTAGTAGAGACGGGGTTTCACCATGTTGGCCAGGCTGGTCTCGAACTCCTGACCTCAGGTGGTCCACCTGCCTCAGCCTCCCAAAGTGCTGGGATTACAGGCGTGAGCCACCGTGCCAGGCCCTTACTCCGTTTCTTAACAGCCTTCGGCCATGGTGGTCACTTCCTTGCACTTGTCCTTTGGGACATGGTTCCCTTTTGGGTTTCCTCCTCTACCGAATGGTCCTTTCAGATTTCCCTGCTAGCTGCTTCTCACCTTCCTGCCCCTTGCACCCACTGCTAGGGAGGTTAACCAGAGTATTGTCTACAGAAAGGAAATAACGTCCGCTTAAAGAAGAGTGGGAGTTAATTTACTCTATAACTGTTAGGTCAAAGGGGGAAGTGACCCTGTTTAAGTGTCTGACATGCTCTGGTCACTTTGCACCCATTAACTCGTTTGATCTTGAAAATAGCCGCATGATGGAGGTGCTTTTTATCACCATGGACAGAGGAGGACACGGAGGCCCAGAGAGGTTGCATGACTTGGTCAAGGGCACCCAGGGTTGGTGCTGGGATTTGGAGCCGGGTGTCTGTCACATTCCATTTCTTTTAAGGAGCTGCTGACTGAGACAGCTGTGTTCAAAGTGGACCCTGGTTTCTTTCTTGGCTTCTATTTCCCTCACTTCCTGGTCTGATGGATGTTTTATTCCCTCCAACCCAGTGCCCAAGCCCCTTGATTTGGCTAAGCCCTGGAGCCCTGGAGCCCTGGAGCGAAATGCATGATTAAATCATCTACAGTGAGGAGCCCCAGGGACTCGCAGGCAGCCCTTGCCCCCACCAGCCTAGAACATTCAGCCTTTATCAGGGAGAACCAGGATGACTTCAGAGATTCCTTTTCGGAACTGTGTTCAAAGGGTAATCAGCCCCTATCCAGGCCATTTGCTAAAACAGGGCTGAGTAATTCAACAGGCCGCTCCAGGAGGCTGCTGTGACTCAGCTGGTGCTGTTGAGCTGCTAATGGGCTTCCTGGAAGTGTTGGGCCCCATGTCCCCACACTCACCTCTCTGAAACCTGTGCTGCTTCAGTTCAAGGTACTGGGTACAACAGGGAGTCTGTTTATGCTGTGTGCGGGGGATGAGCAGCTGCTGGGCTGTTACCCAGTTTCTGAGTGCTGTGCTGACGGGGGTAGCTCCGTCCCAGCCAGAGGAGGTCTCCCTTATGCCTGTTGAGCCCCCTTAAGGGTGGACCTGAGTCTACACAGCTTCTGACATAGAGCTGGGTCCAGGGAGTCTACCTGTCAGGTTTGCACAAGAGAGGAAACCCTTGCTGGCTCCCCTCAGGGGCATCCATGCTGGGTGCTGGGGGAAGGCAAACACAGTCCCAGGGATTTAGCTGCAAGGCCAGGGGGCTGGGGGTCCTAGGTTCCATGGAGAAGGCTGGGGCCAGACACCTTCCTGCCTCTCCCGAGCCCTCATGCCTGGCTCCCATTGCCCAGCCAGCCCTAGGCCCCCAAGCGTTCTTTGAACAGTGGAAGGGTCCGGTGCTGAAGGCAGGGCTGTGTGTTCCCATTATCAATCTCATGTCTTATTCCTTGCTCAGGGAAGACAAGACAGGAAGCAAGGCTTTTGAGAACATGAAGTCTTTTGAGAAAGAAGGTATGAGTCCCAGGTTTATGTGACAGAGAGATGAGAGTGTGAGAGGAGGCAGGGCAGGGGGATGGCTTGTGGAGAAGCTGCTGCAGGCCGCGGAGCACCCGTTCCACCCACTGTCTGTGCCCAGGGCAGCCAGCTGCTGACCGTCCCCAAGAGGACATTTCTAATTTACAGATTTCACACTTTGCAATAAAGAAGCAGCTGTGCATTTTAGCAGGAAACTGGAAGGAGGCAAAAAGCCCAGGCAGAAATGGATCAATTGTGTTGTCCATTAAAATCGTTCCAGGGCTTTGCTAAGCACATCCCTGGAGTTGTCGCTGTCTCCTGGCCTCTGGGAAAGATAAGCTGTATGATCACAGCCCTCTTCTAGCTGTGGAGATGAAAATCAATCCGTATGCATTTCCTTGGAGATGGCCCATGGATGGGCAGGATCAGGCCTGCCAAGGGAGGCATGAGTGCCGGCCCTGGCACTGCCAGTTCCCTCTAAGCCCAGGTCCTGGAGAACCCTTGAGTCTCAAAGCGGCCAGGCTGGCCATGCATCAGGATGTTGGCTCCTGAAAGCCCCTTGGGCAGCCTCACAGGATCCTTCCCAGTGAGCCTTGGAGTCAAAGCTTCTTAGGCTTGCTTTGTAGGCCAGGCCAAGTGAACCATTTTACTGTCACTGTCCCTTCAGTCACTTAATGTCCATGCCCTGTTTCATGCAGACTGTGTGTGGGGCTGAGGTTGAGTTTTTTTTCCCATCCATGATTTGTCTGCTTTCAATCTATGTATTCCTCAGCTTCCCATCCTAATATCCAGCTCCCAATATAGGTTCTCAGAGGGCTGCAAAGAGCTCTCAGTCTACAGGTGGGGACAGTGGTCAAATTAGAGTGGGGACAGACTCCTTTTTCTTTCAACGCACACGAATCACTGGCCATAGCCACACAATATGTGTTCGAATGGAGGTCTGTGCAGGATGTCTACACACATGGAGACGTAGCAGATAGCATGATTGCGTCTGCAGGGAGCAGGGAATGCTTTGGAAGAGGAGCCCTAGTGCACTAGGTTTAGGTGGGACCGAGCTCAAAGTGGGAAGGGCACTCCAGGTTGGAATAATGGGGTGTGCAAAGGTGTGGTTGCTGCAGACTGCAGGGTGTGTTCAGGCAGTGGGTGTGTTTTGGAATTCTTGAATCAGAAGGTTTGTTGGAAGACTTGGTGGTGACCAGATCAGGAAGGGCTTTGGAGACTGTCCTGAGGAGTTGAGGCTTATTCTGTAGGTGATTTGGAGCAAGTGTGGGAATGAGCCACTGAGTATCACTGTGCAGCTGAATGAATGACCAAATGCACAAAAGGAACGAGCAAGCTTCACTAAGCATGACACCCCACAGTGAGAGGCCTGGGAGGAGAGTCCAGCTCAACTCACCCACCATGGTCCCCGCGGAAGGCTCCTCGTTTGTCACTGTCCCACCCTGCCAGTTTGACTCAGTATGAGTTGAATTGTGTCCCCTTCCAAAATTCATATGCCAGAGTTCTAACTCCAGTACCTGCGAATTTGGCCTTATCTGGAAATAGGGTTTTTACAGAGATAATCAAATTAAAATGAGGTCATTAGAGTAAGCCCTAATCCAACATGGCTGGCATCCTCATAAGAAGGAGAAATTGCGAGACAGACACAGGGAGAAGGCCATGGGAAGAAGAAGCCAGAGATCAGGGTGATGCTGCCACAAGCCAAGGAAGGCCAAAGGTTGAGCAAACCCTCAGCAGCTAGTACAAAGGCAGGGACAAATCCCCCTCACAGCCCTCAGAAGGAACCAATCCTGCCAACAGATTGCTCGCCATGATGTGGGTGGGCCTCACCTAATCAGTTGAAGGACTGAATGGCCCAAAATGCTGACCTCCAACCAGCACAAGAGATTTTGGCCGGAGGACTGCCTTTGAACTTGAACTGCAACATGAGGTCATCTATGGGTCTCCGGTCTGACAGCCCCCCTCACAGACTGTGGACTTGCCAGCTTCCGCCATCA
Organism: Homo sapiens; assembly: GCF_000001405.40. Classification (NCBI taxonomy): domain Eukaryota; kingdom Metazoa; phylum Chordata; class Mammalia; order Primates; family Hominidae; genus Homo; species Homo sapiens. The sequence goes on along the minus strand of NC_000010.11, from coordinate 86,076,540 downwards.
CATGAGCCAATTCCTTAAAATAAGCCTCTTCCTCTCTCAATGCACACACTTCTTACTGGTTCTGTTTCTCTGGAGAAGCCTGACTAATACATCAGGTTTGGCCAGACTGTTGCTGAGAGCAGCAGCTGCCGAGCTTCAGGTACCCCAGACCAGCTGGCCTGAACTCCAGTGATTCATGACCGACTTCCACATTTTTATCATATCTTCATATCACCTGTTAATTACTTACTGTTTCTTTCTTTAAACTTACTGTTTCATTACTTAAATGTTGTCTCATCCTCAATCATAATTTTCTTGAAATCATGGCTTGGATATACTAGCAGGGAATGTTTACCCAATTATAATTAATTAAAATAGATAGATCACTATTAAAAATGTTTGCCCATGTCCTACCCATGTTTAATCTGATAGAACTTGTGGCAGCTAATAACAAGTTGAGAATAGGTGAGCCTTTCCCAGAAAATAGGGGCCATTTGATTTAGATTTCACAAGTCTTTCCTCCTTGCTTCCCTCTCTCCTTTAAAACTTTACTAAGCACCTACTAGGTGCCATGCCTAGGGCATGAGCTGGGGATACCAGCATGAGTCTTGGCCCCAACTTGCTTGGCTCCGTGGGGAGAGTCAAGACACCAGCCATTCGTGTGCTGGGGAGGCCCAGTGGTAGGCCTATTTCTAGCTGCCCTATGGTGCCCTTCACATACAATTTCATCTGAAGTTTCCTTACATTCCTGGCCAAACTCACTGTATGTGGTGTTTTCTGTTTGCCTATGAGCAGAGGGTCCTCTGCGTGTTCTCTGAGGAAGTGCCATGTGCCTCATGCTTGCCTCCCCTTGGACATCTCTTCCAATACAAGCCCTCCATCCTGTTGATTTATGGTGGCCACGGGCAGTGTCTAGGCATGGGAAGCACCTGGAGGAACCTTGCTGTGCCTGTGGGATAGTTTGCTAGGGCAGCTGTAACAAAGTACCACAAATGGGGTGGCTTATGCAACAGACATGTATCATCTCACAGTTCTGGAGGTTGGAAGTTCAAGATCAAGGTGTTGGCAGGATTGGTTCCTTCTGAGGGCTGTGAGGGGGATTTGTCCCTGCCTTTGTACTAGCTGCTGAGGGTTTGCTCAACCTTTGGCCTTCCTTGGCTTGTGGCAGCATCACCCTGATCTCTGGCTTCTTCTTCCCATGGCCTTCTCCCTGTGTCTGTCTCGCAATTTCTCCTTCTTATGAGGATGCCAGCCATGTTGGATTAGGGCTTACTCTAATGACCTCATTTTAATTTGATTATCTCTGTAAAAACCCTATTTCCAGATAAGGCCAAATTCGCAGGTACTGGAGTTAGAACTCTGGCATATGAATTTTGGAAGGGGACACAATTCAACTCATACTGAGTCAAACTGGCAGGGTGGGACAGTGACAAACGAGGAGCCTTCCGCGGGGACCATGGTGGGTGAGTTGAGCTGGACTCTCCTCCCAGGCCTCTCACTGTGGGGTGTCATGCTTAGTGAAGCTTGCTCGTTCCTTTTGTGCATTTGGTCATTCATTCAGCTGCACAGTGATACTCAGTGGCTCATTCCCACACTGATTTGCTCATTCACACATTATGCACTTCATTTGTTCATTCATTCAGCAACTACAATAATATTCAATGACTTCCTCCTTCCCTGTATCATTCATACATCGACACTCATCCCATCATTCATTCATTTGAACACTTCTCAAGGGCAGATGGAGCCCTGTCCTGCACCATCTCTGTGTAAAAGCTGAAGCCAAATTTTAATAACACATTCCTTTCCATCAGAGTGCTCTTCAGGGCTCAGAAAGTGGGAGCACTGCTGAGTTCTATCCAAGGAAAGGGAATCATTATATCAAAGGGTTACTTGACCCCTATGTTTACTGTGGCACTGTTCACAATAGCAAAGATGTGGAATCAACCTAAGTGTCCATCAGTGGCTGAATGGATAATGAAAATGTGGTATACTCAGTGGACTATTAATCAGCCATAAAAAGAATGAAATTATGTCATTTGCAAATTATGTCAATTTCATCATCAATGACAATGAAATTATGTCATTGCATAAATTAGGTCATTATCTTAAGTGAAATAAGACGGGCACAAAAAGGCAAATATCACATGTTCTCATTTATATGTGGGAATGAAAACATTTGAACACGTGGCGGTAGCGGGTAGAATGATAGTTCTCAGAGACTGAGATGGACGAGTGGGAGGGAGAGGGGAGGATGAAGAGAAGTGGATTAAAGCGTACAAACATTTAGAAAGATAGAAGGAATAAATTCAATGTTTGATGTCAGAGCAGGGTGACTATACTTAACAAAAACATATTGTGCTTGGGTGATGGACACCATGGCTTGATCGCTACACATAACATGCAAGTAACCAAATTTCTCACCCACCCCATACATTTGCGCACGTAAGAAAATAATAAAAAAGAAAGTGGAGAGGGATTTATTTTTGTCTACTATTTGTTTTGAACAGATGGACTATTGAGCTATCTCCACTTCTTCAAAGTGGCTGTCACTTGATTTCTTGGCTACTTCTACTCAGAATAATGGGAATTTCCCCCACCCTCCCCCAGACTGGTCAGATGGAGAGCTCTGTCCTGGGTGCATTTGTTTAAAACCAGAGCGCCTGTCTGCTGCGGTCCTGACTGTCCATATCTCTGAGCAAGAGGAGAGAGAGCCCAGGTGCTCAGTCCTGTCAGCCAGGCAGGGCATGTGGGTCTCTTCTTTTTGACCCTCTGTTGTGTCCAGGTCCTTAATCTTGCTCTGAGGATTCCAGCCAAGTGATGATGTTTCATCACTGATCGTGGTGCCTTGGGCAGCTTCACCCTGGCATCAAGTGGTGCCCACCTTATGATCCGGAGCTCAATGGAGCTTGAGAGTGCCCTTAGTTGTCCCTGGAAGACAGGTGTGCATGCCAGCTTCCTGCCAGCAGGGCCGGGCCCAGCCTCCTTCACCCCCTGGATCATTCCAGCAGGAGGCAAGAAAACATCATCACTAGCAAACCCTGTTTCCAGGCTGCATAACCACACCCCCAGGGAACCCACCAGACAGTTATACTGTTGGGGTGCACAATGGAAAGCAAAACTGTCCCAGGAAGAAGCCAGTGGCTTCTGTGCGATGGCTACTCTCCCAGCACACAGATGAAGTCTGGCTTCACCCTACCCCAGTGTGTAACAGGGAATAAACACCAGTCCCCCTGCTGCACAGAGCTGGAGTGTAACTGAAAGGAGGTTGTGCTGAATAAATTGGTCCCTCCCTCAGGGGTGCTCTGTTGGAGAGAAAGGCTGTGTGATGAGTATGGATTCGTCTGTTTAGATGTTTCTGGAGTCTCCATTTGGCTAATCATTTTAATCAGAATTTATTTCACTTACTGCAATATCTGGGGGTGTTAATGCCTCCTCCTAAATCCCTTCAACAAACAAAGATTTTTTAATTACTAACAAACAACTTACAAACTGGAAACATGAGTGGAGGTTGTAGCTCTTTATTTATTCTTTATTCTCAATACTCACAAAGCCACACATCTGGATGAGAATTTCTGGAAAAATTCCATCAGCTATCTTCATGTTTCCAAATATTATGGCTTTGGCATTGGGTAGATGACATAACAGAATTAAAAAGCATTTCATCTCACCTCCGTGCTGTGTAGGCACTAGCGTGTGCTATACAGGCACCTGCGCCTTTCCTAGACTGCAGCAGTGTGTGTGCAGTGAGGACAAGTAAACCACTTGTTTTTGTACACTAGCAAAGGCCCTATACTATCTCCTTGGTGTAGAGTTAGGTCTGAGACCGTGGAAAGGGGTGGGGTAGGTGGATGAAAACCCATGAAGAAAAGCTGACGTTAAAAAGGAGAGATGTTCAATGTGCTAATCAGACCGAGCTCCCTTGGGCTTTTGAGGGTAATTATTTTCTCCTTACTAATTTGGAAAGAATTCATCTTACTTTATTTCTATACTGCTATCTTTAATTACCTCTGCTACTGAAAACGTATCTGTATTTCCTGAGATGTGTTTACATTTCTTTACCCAATAAAATAAAAAAAAACGAAAGAGTAGTTATGGACTCCTCTGGGTAAGATGAGGAAATAACTTGTATTGTCTGAGAAAAAACATCGACTGGCCCGAAAAATGGCTGGACATTGCCTTTCCCATGAGTCTTCTTTTAGCTCCCTACCTGTTTCAAATTGCAGAAGCTTCTCCTGGCACCTGGCCCTTGGTTAGTGATAAATCTTAGTTTACCATTTTCATCCTCGTGTGAGCTATGATAGATTTTTTTTTGGAGGAAAGTTGACTGAGGTATGGATTGTTGCCAGACACTACCTTAAACTTGAACGTCTGAAATATAAAACTTACCTTGTTCCTCTGCATAAAACATATCCACACTTCCTGACGACCCCAGAATAATGTCCTGCTCCTTTAGCTCCCAGAAGGCCCTTAGAGACTAGGCTACCTTTCCTTCACCCCCGGTTCCTCCCATCTTCCTCTCACCTGACAGTAACAGCAAATGACTCACAGTTTCTTCCTCGCACCAGCCCCTTCTCCCCTCTCTTGGCATCTGCTCACGCAGGTGTCTCTGCCTCCCACTCTCTTTCACTTCACTATTCCTTTCACCCTTCAACATTTACTCAGGTTCTGCCTCCTCCTCCAGGAAGCTGTTCCTGACCACCTCTCCCACTGGCTGGGGCAGTTCCTCTCATGGTAGTCTGGGTTTCCCTCTCCTTTACTAGATCCCAAATTATATGCACCACAATATGGATCATTTATGTATCTCCAAGTAGACCATGAGCTCTTCAAGGCTGCACTTGCCCCACCTCCCCACCACCTCCCTCAGCATGCCTATAGCACAGAACCTGGCAGGTAATGAGTGCTCTGAAAATATTTGTTATCATCTGTAAAAAGAAAGATGTCAATGTTGGCTTACTAAAAAAGGAAGGCTTATGAGTTTAATGGAGCAAGGGCAAAACTAGAAAAAGGCAATGGCTTGGATTTGCAGAAAGGTGTTGCTTTCAGAGGCTGTAATCTGAGTTATTATTTGCTGAGCATCTCACGCTATATCACGTTGCACCTGTGAGAGTATTGTGGACGCAGTTTTGTGGATGATGGACCAGAGACCCAGAGGTTAAGGAACTTGCCGAGCTTCTATAACATGAAAGGCAGAGCCAGGATGCAAGTCATTGTGCTACCAGCCTGTTGCATTTGAGATCTGTGCAGTTATACCAGGTGGGGTGGACATTCTGAGTGGCAGCAGGTCTGCTCTATCTTCCCAGGACAGTGAGCCCATTTCCCTGCTGTCCCAGTGAGCTCTCTCAGCACAGGCTGGATATGGGTTGTCTGTACCTGTGTGTGCCTATTGTGAAGCGGGGGCATTCTCCAATTGAGCCTGTTCCTAAGCAGTTATTCTTGTTGGAATTTTAAAATCAGCCAAAGCAATGAAAAACATTCACATAAGTTACCTCAATACTGGAAGCAGATAAGCTGAGGGTTGCACACCCAGAGGCCACCTTTTTTCAAATTCACCTGCAGTGTGTCAGCTTGGGGTCAGGGTGAGGTGCAGGATTGGCCCCTGGAGATGCAGGTCACAGATGAATGCCTTTTCAGTGGCTTGCAGGGAGGGAGATGTGCATGCAGTGGTTCTCTTCCCAGATGCTTCCCTCTTTATTGGTTTCTCTCCATTAGCCTGAGAGCTCCTCCAGGGTAAGAGCAAGATGGGATTAATCCTGTTACTCTCTGTATCAGCTGGGCCTAGCTCAGTGCCTGGAATAGTCAATGAATGTTTGTTGAAAGACTACTTAACACACAGATGAGTGGGTGGATGTAGGCATGTGTGCAGGGATGGATGAGGGGCCAGGAAGAAGTGTCTGGGTCATATCACAGAGATGCTTTCTTGTGGGCTGTCCTGAAGGTTCTGAGAAGGCTGATGGATAGTTCCCAGTGTCCACTGTGGAGAGAAAGGAGCTTCGGCACCCTGCAGGATTCCCTTCACCAGCTCCTGTTCCAGACACTAATGGCAGGCAGGATGGATGTCAGGAAAAGGCATCTGGTGCCTGTGCCCATCCCAGCCTGGTCAGGGCAGCATTTAAGATAATAATCTTAATTTATGCCAGGAAGAAATAGCCTCCCTATGGAAGGTTTGATTCTGGAAAGACACTCTCTGGTAGAGATGGGGCTGGGCAAGGGGTATGGACCACACAGTCTGACCCTGCTCCCATCAGGGGTGCATGCTTTGATTTCCACAACTGGCACAGACACTCCCAGTGCCCCAATGCCTTCTTCCAAGGCTGGATGGCTGTTACTCCTCTGGTTAGCCCAGCCCAGAGGAATTTAATTCCAGAAACGCTTCCAAGCTCTGAGGAGGAATAACAGGCCAATGGGGAGGTAAGCATGAGATGCAGGAAGCATAAATTATCGGCTTTCCATTCCACATCACTTCTGAGAGATGGTCTCTCAAACTCCAAAGAGCTGGCACAACCACAGCACCTCTCTACCCAGGCTCCTGGCTTTCCTTCTGCAAGCTCATTGCCCTCTACAGGCACCATATCACGACCCACAATGACCCAGGAGTTTCTTCTTCGGCATCCCTGTCTTCCCATGGCCAAGAGTGAGTGGCCCCTCTCCCCTCACCCATGCACCACTCACTTGGGGCTTTCTGGGTCTTCTGCACCAGGAATGATTTTTATCTACACATCACACCCCAGCTGAGGCATAGAGGAGTGTTATGGCTAACAGGAAATGAAGACGCTGGCTGGACTAGCTTGCCTTGTAACTTCCCGGACATCTTTTCCACTGAAAACAAGGTTCAGCATGGTCTTACTGATGAAGCTTCTTGGCCGTTCAGGATGTCGGGGAAGGAGGCACTCTTTTATTTATTTATTTATTTAGAGACGGAGTCTCACTCTGTCTCCCAGGCTAGAGTGCAGTGGTGCGATCTCGGCTCACTGCCAGCTCCGCCTCCCGGGTTCACGCCATTCTCCTGCCTCAGCCTCCTGAGTAGCTGGAACTACAGGCACCCGCCACCACACCGTGCCAATTTTTTGTATGTTTGGTAGAGACGGGGTTTCACCGTGTTAGCCAGGGTGGTCTCGATCTCCTGACCTCATGATCCGCCCGCCTCGGCCTCCCAAAGTGCTGGGATTACAGGCGTGAGCCACTGTGCCTGGCCGGGAAGCACTCTTGACTGCAGCCCTCTCAGGGCGAGGCTCTCTGGTCTGGAGCAGCTCCATCCCCTGGTCCCCAGCCCCTGAAAGCTGGGTTCTGATTATAATTCTGCTCACATCACCTCCCCTTGGCAACTGTTACATCATCGTGTCTGCAGTGGCAGGTTTGCAGCAAACCTGGCCCAGGTGAGCAGAGCCCCCTCCTGCCAGCAGCTGTCATTAGAGAGCCTGAAGTGCATAAACACCTCCACGCCCTGCCCTTCCCTGGCCCATCCTCAGTCCTCCCAACCTAACCTTCCCCAGCAGTCTGCATATACTCCCCCTTCCCACAGCTTCTCCAGGAAATTGTTGGGTCTAATCAAGCTGGAGACTAGGGGCCTGTGGAGCAGATTGGAGTTTCTGACTGTGGCAGGACTTGCTGGACACTGGGCAGGGGGTGATTGGAGGCAGAATGGCAAGCCCGTGAGAAAGGAGCCTCTCTTTCCTCCCAACTCCTGATCACGCATGCTGCCTGCCAGCAGAGAGGGCACTTGGACAGTAATTAATACCTACAAAGGGGTGGCACATTTCACTGTTGGTTTTGTTTTGATTGGAGTGAGGCTATCTGCCTTCTTAGGATGCCTGTGTCCTTGGGTGACACCATCTGAGCAAGTTGCCTCCCTAGACGCTCATCACAGAGCACATTTTAATTCAGCTGGAGCGTGTGTGACAGTATCTGAGGCACCGTCGCTGGCAGTAGGCTTCTTTACCTTTATTGAAGCTGTTAGCTCTTTAGGCAGGAGCCCCACGTGGGAACATTTGCCTCAATCTATTGACCAGTGAAATATACATTCTGAATTAAAATGTAGGGTATGTTTTATAATTGGGAATCAGAGAGGTGGCAAGTGGTTAGTTTCTTGCCAAGCAATATGTGAAGGTTCTATTTGGGGATGGCGAGGAACGCACAGAATGGTGATTTGAACTCCTCAGTGGGGGGAAGTTTTCTCTCTCCCTGCTGGTCTTTCAGCTTTCAGTCTGGTATATATTTTCAGATCTTTTTTTAGAGCTCCATTCTCTCTTCTCCTGACTTCACATAGCCCCTTGTAAACATGGGGAAGTAACGTGGTGACATGCAAATATGTTTGCATGAATTTCAGCATCAACCACACCTGGGTCACATCTTGCCTTTGCCACTGAGGAGCCATGTGACCTTGGCCAAGTCACTGTCCCATTCCGAGCCTCAGTTTCCTTATCTGTAAATGGCGACGTTTTCCCATACTCCACAAGTTTGCTGAGGAACGTTAGTGAAATAGTGAATGGAAAGTGTCTAACACAGAGCCAGGCACAAAACAGTGTTCCAAAAATCGTAGTTCTAATCCCCTCTCCTTTTCTCCCTGCTTAAGTCTGACTCCTTGGAAGCAGAGCCTGGCATTGCAGAAGTGATTTATCCAGGGAGAGCTCTCTGGTAAAATCCTTAAGGATGTGGAGGTAGCAGGATGGGGCAGGGGAGGAAGCTTGGCACAGCGGGGTCTCAGCTGAGTTCAGGCCTTGGCCTGATCTTAAGGGGAGCTCTGGCATAGGAATGGCACCACAGAGTCATCATGGCTTGAGGCTAAAGGGCTGGAGTTTTGTGCCCCATAGTGCTCACTCACTGACTGTGGGCCACCCCAGTTGGAGGGCATAGCCTTCCAGGCCTTTCTGTGTGAGGCAGAGGCCTTTGCAGTTCTCAGGGGCCTTTGCCCCAGCCGCTGGGGATGGGCACACCCGGTGGTGGAGGGGATCTGGGTGGGGAACCGCAGTGCCTGTCACCTTCCCCTTGCCTATTTTAAAACCTTTTATCCCAAGAGTTTTAAAAAATCAGCTGTAAATATAAGCATGCTCAAGAAAGTTTTAACTACATTCCCAAATACCTGATGCCTCCCAGTTTGTAGATTCTCTGGCTTTTTGGGGTGAGGTCTGTGAAACGCTCTTTACTTACGCAGTCCCTTGGTGCGCAATATCCTGGACTAGCCACAGGGCAAGCCTGACCTGCCTCGTGACTCAAAAGTGGTGGAGATGCAGGCTGCTGCTGTCTCAGGATCAGTTCCAAATTGAGAAGCTCCCCAGGTTTAATTGGCCAACCCTCCAGCGTGCATGCAGAGCGCGGAGGCTCTGTACTGCTGGAGCCGCCTCTAATCAGCATTTGCTAAGGTTTATTAACACCTTATCAGTACTTGGGACGGCTCAGTGTATACTCCCTTGTCAGTGGCATTATCTCACGCTAGGAAATCTGAAAACATTAGATGGCGAAGGCATCCTGCGTGCCTCATTAGTTGTTCAAAGTGTGCATGGTTTGAGGACCATTAAGGGGGATTCCATCAGCTCTATGCGCTATTAAGGAAGGGGTGATTGATAGGTGAGTCCTATCTGGAGGCTTTGTAGTTTCAAGGGCTTCATGACAGGTGTGACAGTGGCCCGCGGAAAGCCCCAGGCCCTACCAGCACCTATGGGATGCTTGTGCCGGCGCGGCCCCTACCAAGCGTTCTGGGCTGTGGCTCTTGGTGTTTGCCATCTAAGCCCATTGCCACTCTGCAGTGACATCTAGGCACATTTCCTTAAAGGGGAGGAGGTGGCCTGATGACAGGAAAGAGCACACAGAGCCTCCTAACTTAGGCAATGGCTTGAATTTGCAGAAGAGTGTTGCTTTCAGAGGCTGTTAACTGAGTTATCATTTGCTGAGCATATCACATTATATCACATCACACCTGCAAGAGTATTGTGGACCCAGTTTTGCAGCTGATGGGCCAGAGACTCAGAGGTTAAGGAACTTGCTGAGCTTCCATAGCATGATGGGCAGAGCCAGGATACAAACTTGGGTTTGACCTCCCTCAGCTCTGCCACTTATAAACTGTGTGAACTTGGGTACTTGGGTGCATTCTTCAGTCTCCTCATCTGGAAAATGGGGATGAGTGTCCTCTCTTAGGGCTAAAAATTGTAATACCCCTGGCACACAGCCCATTGGAAAATTCTAGACACATATTAGCTGCTCAACTGTCAGTAACAGTTCTTATTATCACTCCTGGATTTCAACTCCCAGCTTGGGTTTGAGCTTGTGGGATGTGTGCAGTCCCTCCTGGCAGGTCCTTGGGTCGGAGCCACCGTGGAGCAACATCCCTGAATTCGTCTCTCTGGGAAGGGGCTGCCGGGCTGGGGGATGTGATAAATAACTTTCTTCCGAATCGAGTCTTACATTTCAGTCAACTCAGCCTCCTGCTATGTGTGGGCAATTGCACCATCTTAATACCGCTCTTCCCCCTCTTTAATCTGTCTTTTCAGAATGTTCTGTCAATTAGAAAATGCTTGTCAGCTAAGTGACTACTCAGGAAAACAACTTACATGACTTCTCCAGCACTTGAAGAATTTAAAATAATGTCAGGGGATTAACTTGCAGGGAAAGGCATTGTTAGGAAGGAGGGCTGCTATTCAGAACTGCCTCCCAGTCTGTACAGTTTCATTAATAACACCTTTCATTCTGTAGCCCCTCACATCTAGAAGGATCTTGAGTGATTAACAGATGCTTTGAATAGGAATTACTTCATCTTCTGCTGAAATATCACTTCTCCTTGGAGCTGCAAGCATTTGATTGTCACCATCCTTGTCATGCCAGACATAAGAGGGCTGAGGCTGCCTCGTGGTCAGTCTTGCTGCTCCAAATTAGAGGGGTATAAATAATCACCAAGTGAATTAGTTTAATTCTGCAGAAGTTCCTGAGCCCTGACTAAGGGCCTGGCTTTGTGTTAGGTGCTAGGGAGGCAGGAATCAGAAATAGCTCCTGCCCCAAAAGATCCCACTGGCTAGGAAATAGACAGGTAAAGAGCACCTGGCCACAGGGCAGGGGAGTGCATGCAACAGAATTTGAATGCATGTGGCTGGGAGCTGGCCCAGGACTCAGCTGTGCTGGAGCCAAGGCCGGAAGGATGGGGGTATGAGGTAGAGAAGGGTGGCAGAGGGCACAGATTGGCCTTGCTGCTTGGACCAGAGTCCACAGAGCTGCAGCAGAAGTTCTCAGAGGGGCAGGTATCATAATCCCCTGGAGGGCTTGCTGCAGCACAGACTTCTGGGCTCTAACCTTGGAGTTTCTCACTCAGTAGATCTAGGACAGACCTGGGAATTTGCATTTCTAGCACATTTCCAGGTGATGCTGACGCTGCTGGTCCAGGAGCACACTTGGAGAACCACTGTGCCAGAGGATTGCCAGAGGGTTGCAATCTCAGATAGATGTCTATGGAGGCCAGTGAGGGAGGCCGGGTGGTGGCCCTAGTGGGGTGCTCAGCCAAGTGGGAAGCATGCACCCCGTGCAAAGAGAACAGCTGCTCCTGAGCCACAGCCTCTGGCTGCTACATGGTAATGTGGGATGAGCGTTACTAGATTTTCTGCTCAGTCTGGAAAGAATGGGAATCTCAATTTTTAATATAAAATGTTATTTTTATGATGCCACATGGGTCTGAGGAAATGCATTTGCAGGCTTCATGTGGCCAGCGAGTTTTCAGTTTGTCTTCTTTCTTTTAAAGAATGAATAGGAATTTTCCAGGCAGCTGGGGAGGGAAAGGACTTTTATGCAAAGGAATCCACAGGTGCAAATGCCTGGAATAAGATGCTCTGAGTGGGGAAGTGTGAGGCTTTCTGATTGGCTGGAGCATCATGGTTGCTGGGTACTGGGGAGTGGAAAGGAGGAGTTGTCGGAGAGGTGAGAGGTAGCAGGGAAGGGCCCATGGAGCTTGGAGAAGGTTTAGATTTGATTTCTGACTCCAGCATGGCCAGCTTTGCCTACCAACCTTGGTTCCTCTGTGTTCTGGGATGGAGGAAACATTTGATACCCATTGCAGCTGGCCCAGCACACTGAGGCAGGCACTGTGCCCTCAGGGAGCCATGCGGAGTTCTGATGCCTAGCACCTCTGGTAACTTGCATCCCTTCCAGGCCAGCTTCTGTGAGGCAGCGGTGCCTCCCTTAGGGGAGGGACCTCTTGTCCCTGTCTCCCCAGAAGAGGAACCAGGAGGCCTTTTTTCATCACAGACGTTGTGCTCAACATCTTGTCCTGAGAGGGTCTTTGGATCAGACAGACTCAGGCTGGGTCTCATGTGCACTTTGGGCAAGTTGCTAGAACTTTCTCAAACTCTGTTCCTCAGCTATAAAATGGGAAAAATGTTTGTGAACATTGATAAAATTATTTTTAATGTAAGTAGGCCAATAGATTGTTTTTCTAAGCTATGTGCTTTTTAGGAGATTATACATTATCATGGCAGAGAAAACATAAATATATAAACAGCCATAAAGGAAAAAAAACGAACAATTTAAAATTACACAAGTTCCCAGTACCTTGAGATAAACATCATTAATATCTTTGTATCTCTTCTTCTAGATCGGGGGTTGACACACTCTTTTTTAAAGGGCCAGGTAGTAAATAGCGTTGGTTTGTAGCATATATGGTCTCTGCTGCAACTCTTCATCTCTATACTTAGGCCTGACAGTAGCTACAGACAGTTCATGAACAAATGCATATGGGTGTGCTTTAATAAAACTTTATTTATAAAAACAGGCCCCTGAGTTGAGTTTGTTGACCCTCTTTCTAGACTTTCTACAAAGTTCCATGTATCCTTTATTTTATAAATATGGAAGTATTCCTACTTTTTCTTCTTTGGTCTGACTTTTCACATCACAGTATATCATGGAAGTCTTCCATATCAATATATATTCACTTACATTTTTATTTCTAAAAGCTGCAAAGTATATCTTACAATAGCAGATTGGTTAAGCACATTATGGTTCTATTCATAATTTATTTAAGCATCTGGTACTGTTGGATGCTTTTCCAATTCATTTTTACTGAAACATGATGCTGAGGATAAGATGTATCTTACACTGTTGCACACTTGCCCAGTTTTGAAATAACCTTTTTGGAGTCTGGGCACTGTAGTTATTGGAGAAGTGCAGGCTGCTCTCTCTGGGCCCTCTCAGGTTCCCGTTCTGGCATTTCCCATCAGTCCATGTTCTCCATTGTCCAGTTCACCATGAGCTCCTTTATGCTTCCCAGCGGCTGGCGTATGTTTCTCTAGCACCTGTGGGTTTTCCACTATTACTTTGTCAATTTTATGTACATTGTGTGTACTCACCATTTCCACCTGAGCACAAGCATATGGACTTCAGGCTTTATTTTCTCCTTGCTTTTGATAAGTGTGTTCCAGGGCAGTTGCCTCAGTTGTCCTGCCTCTGACAAGAGGGAGTGGCATTGTTGCCCTCAGTAGTGAAGACACATGGGTGCCAGGTGGGGTGGAGGTGGAGGCTCCATCCTGTCTCTCTTCCTGGGCTGGGGCTTGTGACAGATTCCTGAACGGACCCCTGTATTCATCCCAGAGTGGGTCCCTCCCAAGTTCTGGGTAGGACCCACCACCCTGAAGACCTTGGAGATGCTCAGGCAAGGGGAGAGGGGTCCTGTTGATCTGTCCCCAGTGAGCGATAGTGAGGGAAAGCTTTGGGCCCCAGTGAGAGGCTGCTGTTAGCCCTGGGCATGTGGTCAGCCACGGCCACAGGACCCACAACAGCCCTGCCTGTGCCAGACGGGTGCTGGGCATGGGGTTCACACAGATGTGGAAGCCATAGTCTCCCCTTTCAAGGAGCTTACGGTCTGGAAGGGTAGGTGAGAGCACATGACTGGTGGGATATGAGTGAAGCTGGTGACTGGCATAGTGGCGATGGCTCTGGGAGCTAATAATCATGGTGGGGACTCCACCAGGTACTTTGTATTCCTACACAGACTCCCCATGACAGTGCAGCAAGGTAGGCATTTGTCTAGGGCAGGCTTCTTCCAAGCAGACCTTGAAATGAGGGTTCTGGTACAAGTCTTTCCTAAGAAGGTGCTCGCAGAGGAGTCTGGGAAGGGTGGGGAAAACAGGACAGGGAAGGGCCAGAAGCAGGGGTGGAAGCGAATCTGAGTGGGACCTCCGGAGAAGACCCCTAGATGTCAGACCGAGCTCCGGGTGCTCTGGGGGGTGAGTTACACCCTGGAATGTCCCCGAGGCAAAGGGAGCTGGGCCATCATACCCTCACCCTCATCTTAAGTGTGCGTGTGTGTGTGTCTGTGTGTGTGTATGAGATGCTCAGGCCCTTCCAGGCCTCTCTGCCTGCGGGCAACATGGCTCCAGGAGCCAGAAAGCCATTCTCTGAATAAGAGCCCCAGGTAGGTGCCGGGGGTAAGATGCAAAGCACAACAAAGTTTTGCCCTCATTTAACCAGAATGTTGCTATCCCCATTGCACAGTTGGAGAAGCGAAAGCACAGAACAGATGGTGGGCTCATCTGCAGACTGTGGGAAAGCCAGGATTGTCGCTCAGCCTGTTGAGTGCTTTCTCTGATGTCCATAGGGGTGTCTAAGGGAGAGAATACAGTCATGGGCTCTTAGTTTCTATTTCTGGTTGGGCCAGTAAAGCTGCTTCCTCATCTCTTTTCTGCTTATCACTAGAGAAAGAAATTAAGAACCCCTGCTTCAGCCTGCTAAAAGCCCAAAACAAAACCAAACAGAACAACAACAAAATAAGGCAGGTTGAACAGGCTCGTGACATAGAGAGGTGAATCTGGCCTTTGGGGAATGGGAGCACTCCAGGTGGATTCCTGCAGGAGGAGTCTTGGTGAAGCCTGAGCATGCAGGGATGGCCCTTGGAGCACTGGCAGGAGGGACAGAAGCAGGCTGGGTCTGAGGGAGGCAGGTGAGTCCTGCATGATGGGGACCTCCAGAGGGGTCTGGGGGAGCAGCAGCCATCTGGAATCACAGTGCCAGGCTTTGCTTCACCTTGCTGAGTGGAGAGGGGTCTTGACTGCATCTCACTGGCTTTTCTTTGAGGAATAGGAACCTGGCAGTGGTGAGCAGGACAGATTGGAGAGGGCGAGCCAGACGGCAGGGCTGCTATTTTGAAGCTGATGTCTACTGGGAGGTGGCTGCTTTCACAATGGAAAGGGAGTCCTAGACAGACAGGATCCTCTCTGGATCCCTTCCTGGGAAGGGGCCAGGGAAGAGGGAAGAGTCAGAGGCCAGGCCAAGGCTTGAGGGATTCTTTGCAGTGCCCTGCAGACGTGGAACTATAGTGGGAGCTGGGAGTTGTTATTTGGTTCTCTTGAGCTGCCTTTGGCAATTCAAGTGGTGGAGCTGCTCGGAGCTGCTGGAAGGTAATTGGATTGGAGGGTCCTGAGCTCTGCAGAGAAAGATGCCAGTGCTGCAGATGTGAGTGGAAAGTGAAGCCTGTAGAGTACCCCCAGGAGGTGGGGGTGGGAGAAGGATAGTGGAGGCACCAGGAAGGGCCAGTGCCATGGGGGCCAAGGTGAGAGAGACCACTAGAAGGATGGTGCAGGCAACTGGGGAGGCATAGGGAGTCCTGCGGGGTGGAGGCTGCTCTGCCTTCTCTTTGGAAAGGGGCGCATTGTAGAGTCAACTGATCTGCTAGTGCCTGCCAGCTCTGTTGGGAGGTGGATACCCAGAGGCCTTGACATCTGTCAAGGAGGGAGCTGCCTGTGGACAGGGGACCAGTCTATGGAGAGTACAAGGCATCCAAGGAGCTTGCTGGCCATGGTGCAGTAGCTGTGGCCTGGAGGCTGGAGTCTTGAGCCTGGACTAGGTGCCGTGTCCTCTGGAGGGACTGAGTGAGACACAGCCTGAGGTTCTGTTCCCCACAAACTCAGGAGCACTGTTCATGTGCTGAAACCAGTCCAGGCCAGCGCCCTGCTGTGGTGGAGCATCCGACACCCGGGGACACCTGACATGGTTAAGTGACCCGGGCTTTAGAGCGGGGCAGATGGGGCTATAATCCTGGCTGTGACTTTTGTGCCTGTGCCCCTGAGCTGCTCAGCCTCCAAGGCCTCCCTGGATGTGATCTCTCACCAATATACTGGGGATATGCTCCCTCCAAAGTCTGGGTGCCCACATTGGGTGCTCTGGCTGGTGGGTTCAGATCTATCTTGTGGGTAGAATTGGGCAAGCTTCCCACTTCGCCCCTGTAGCTAGTTCCTATAAATGCTGGAATACAGAACATCTCCTAATAGAAAGTGCTTTATGCATTTTCCCAGTGGGGAAATCCTATATTTAGGGGAGGGGGTCAACTTGTAGTTGAACATAAAAACTCTTAGGGAAGCAGATGAAAGACTTTATGTCTATTTGTAGCATTTGATTTATTAATTTAGTTACACATACATATTTAAATTCCCATGCCATGTAAAATAGTATTTAATTTAGAAATCTGCTTTTTTTCCCCTTCTGGCAGTTATGGAGCAATTTTATTCAAAGCCTTCCCAGGCCCCATCATTGCCAGAGCCACTGTGCGTAGCATTGAACACAATTTTCCAGGGCACAGAATCTCCACTTCCATCATAGTTGTTTGAGACCCAACACTTTGTGGCTTTGTGTAAAATGCTGTCACTGGAGAATTTATCACAAGCTACGTATACTCGTTTGCATAATATTAGGAGAGTGTTTTTTTTATTTTCATTTTTTTCTTTAGGTATATATCTATGATCTTCATAGTGTAACTACTTCTGATATTGCTTTTTAAAGTGATTTGTAAAAGACTTGTTTAGAACAACATCCCCAGCTTGTAATTCTAAGGTCAAACCCAGGAATAATTATTAAATAGGGGTTAAATATCTTTGCCTTCTCTTTTAACGATTCCATCAAGCAAACTCTTATGAGCATCCAAAACTAGCATTGATTGAGGTCATTTCAGGCTAATGTTTTTTCCCCAAATGGTACTTTGTTGGTTAAAATAAAGTAAATGAGAGAACTGCCCTTTAACAGGAGAGTTTGTCAGGAATTTGAATATAAGTTCACTCACTCTTCTTATTGAAGGATGATTTTGGAAAAAAAATTACCTTTGCCTTTTGCTTGGTCACAGAGAGTAGCAGTGGCTCCACAGGTAATTGTTGTTACATTGAATGAATGCGCAAATCTAAGGATTTCATAAATACCTGTGTATGGCAGAATGCCTGGCACATAGTAGGTGCGAACTGAAGACAGTTCTTTTCTCTTCCTGAGCCCCACTGTATCTTTACCATCTTTGCATTTAAGGAGTGACCTGCAGGTTACTTTTGTCTACCCTCTCTCACTCATGATGTAATCAGGCCCCTGACAAGCAAGACCTCTTGATATCCACTCACACAGCGAGACTCAGAACGCTTGTGGACCAGCCGCACCTGCTCCCTTTGCCTGCCTTGTCTGAGACCACATGGATCCTCATCCTCCATGGGTCCGCTTTGTCATGACTTATTCAAGGGCTTTGCACGTGCTGCTTCCTCTGCTGGAATGCTTTTCCCCTGCCTCCTCCTCCTCATGAGCTCATATCCATCTCTGGTGACTTCCTCTGGTCCCTAGATGAGATCAGTCATCCCTGCTCAAACTCCATCTGCTGCCCAGTGTTATGTCCTCACAGGGCCCAGTACCTGTTCTTCCTAGCGTTTATCCAGCTGCAGTTTAGCATGCATTTGGGTGATTATTTGATTGATGCATGTGTCCTCCCCTAAATTATAAGCTCCTCAAGGGCTGGGACCTGGTGTCCCTTCACAGCTGTGATCCCCATGCTGAGCATGGTGCCAGACACACAGCGGGTGCTCAAGAAAATATTTGCTGCATGTTTGGCTGAGTTCATGGTGCCTGCAGATTAAGAAGTTTAATGGAAGATGAAGGGTGGCATCTTAACATCCTGACCTGCTTCTTGGGTCTTGAATCCCCTCCCGCAGGTCTCTGGCAGATGTCAGTTTCTGTCATTTTGCACAGATCTGATGGGCTCAGGAAATGAAGGTACATGGATGCCCAGAACTTCGAGCTGTGGTCATTGTCTCTATACAATGTGTCACTTCTTTCTCTGGAGAGAGTGAGTTGGACCTTTTAGTTTAATCAGCCAGTTTTGGTATTTCTGGGACTCAGGAGTGTGGGCTGAAAGTTATCTTAAAAGATCACTGTACTGGAGAAGCTGAAGTTGTGGGCTAATGGGGAACCAGTTGTAATGAACATGGAGAGGTTGGACTTGATAGCTCTCATGTCAGCATGCCTGGAACCTGGGGCCGGAACCATCCAAACCAACTAGAAGGTCACACAGAAATGAGCTGAGTTCTACCTTGCTTCTACCTGACCTGTTCTGCACACAAGTGTTCCATCCAGCCTCTTGCTTTCTCTCTTCCTTTCCATAGGAGGGCTGGGGGAGGAAGGGGGGCCCAGGGGTCTCATTTGTGCACTCCAGCTTCCTCCCTTCCTCTCTCCCTTCCTTCCTCCCTTTCTTCCCCACTTCCATATCAGATTTTTCTGGTTTTACTTCCCCAAAGCTGATTTCTACTCAAATTTTGATCCCAAGATCTGCTTCTGGGGACACCTAACCTATGACACAATGGATCCTCCATTTCCCAAGGCAAAACTCCTAGTTAGAATTCCACGAACATTTCTGGAGCGCACACCGCATGCCTGGCATAGTGTTAGATAATCAACATGCATGCGTAAGCCAAAGCAGGCATGGCTCCTACTCTCCTGGGGTTTACTGACTTGTGGGAAAGACAGACATTAACTAAACAGTTCCATGGCCAGGAGAATAAAGTCAAGATGCATTAGAGTGTGGAGAAAGAAAGAGATGTGGTTCTGAGAGGGAGTAACTGAGGAAATGGCCCGAAACTGGAGGGTCAGGGAAGACTTCCCTGAGGCAGTGGTCCTTGAGGTGAGACCTGAGAGTGGGAAAACTGAACCAAGTGGGAAAACTGATCCCTCTGTGCTGAGGGATGTTAGTCGAGGAACTGAAGGAAATTGGGATGTTGGGAACCCAGCAAGGGAAGGCTACAGTGAACACCCGAGGGCCAATGGAGTAGGCAAAGGTTGAGACTGCAGGGTGTCGTCAAAGGTTATCATCTTTATTTAAGAACAGAGAAGAGCCATGGCTTGGTTGATGCAGTGCAGCTGCACTAAGCAGGATGGGGATACAGGCCATGTCTGGCCATTGCAGAAGAAGGTCATCCCAGACACTGGGGAACCTGGCACATCTGGGAGGTTACTATGTGGTACCACAGAAGGCAGAGTTCTCATCCACCTCATTCCTGACCTGAATCCTAGGTGACTTCTGTGAAATCTTCAGAGAAGTGACTGCAGGAGGGATCTCCTTGAAGACCCAAATGTCCTGTTCTCTGAAAAGGTTTCTTTAATGCTCCTTCTACTCTGTCTCTCTCTCCAAGCCAGGATTAGTTGCCCTCTCTGTGGGCTCACAACCCTGTAGAAACCTCTGTAGAGTCCTCTCCACTCACTGGAGGGTTCTCGAGGGCCAGGACCATGTCTTGTTAGTTGGAATGCAGCCTGAGTCCCAGGGACAGCAGCCCTTTATGGATGTGCTGAAGGAACTTCACCTTCGCTAAGAGTTCTACCACAGTCTAAAGCCAGGCAAGGGGCAGTTCGCCAGCTCTGCAGGAAGCACAAGGCATCTTCTGATGCTTCGTGGCATCTCAAATGAGGCTCTGTCTTTGCACTGCAGATGGGCCCGAGGCCCTAGGGGCTCCTGATTGCTATGTGGTTTTCAAGCCCTTGGAAGGGCCTGCCAGGCTGCCATATGTATGGGCAACAGCCAAATAGCCTCCTTAAGCTACAGTCTCTGCTATAAGATCCACCACGTGGCTTTGCAGAGGCTGTGCGTGTGACCTGGGGGCTCTGTCTGCTGCATGCAGGGAGCTGCTGCCTCAATGATGCTGGTGGGCGGAAGCAACTTCATTTCTTTGGCTGTAAAGGAGACACCCAGGTCCTACCATCTGTCTGTGCTATGTTAACTGTGTGGCTCGGCAGTCTGATTTATGGGGAAGGGTTTGGGAATGGGGACAGGTGGGAGTAGGAATTCATAAGCAGATCCTAAGAGTTCTGGCTTCTGGAACTCAAGATTGGCACCCTTGGGACACGGGTTGGAAATGAGATGAGAATTCTTGAAGGACAATTCTTCCTTGTTCTTATTACACCTGGAAAAGCAGATCAGCTTGGTTTGGACAAATGAGCACTTCCTTGGGAGATCTTTGTTGCAACATTTCTTTTGCCTTTCTATACAGTCTGACCTTGGCCAATTCATTTGAATCATCTGGTCTTCAGCATCATCATCTATAGAACCAGGAAGTTGGAGTTAATGCCCTCCAAGTCTGTTTCCAGCCTTGGAATTCCATGTGCCTAGAACATTTAGGATTCTGGGACAACTCAAGGCAGGAGGCAGCCCCAAGGGTGTGGCTGAGAAATTTGAAGTGGAGTGGAGTCCACCTGCTCTGGTCACAGCCCTGAGGCTGGGCAGGAAGCTGTGAACTCCTTATTAAGCTTTGGAATCTAACTTTGTCACCTACCAGCTGTGAGACGTTGTCTGCTTAGTGTGCCATAACAAAATACCATAGCCTGGGTGGCTTAAACAACAGAAATTTGTTTTTCTCACATTTCTGGAGGCTGGGAAGTTCGATATCAGGGTACTAGCACTGTTGGTTTCTGGCAAGGGCTCTTTTTCTGGCTTGCAGACAGCTGCCTCTTTTCTGTGTCCTCACATGAGAGAGAGAGAGAGAGAGAGAGAGAATGAGAGCACAGGCTCTCTGGTTCTGGCGTTTCTTCTCCTTCTCCTTCTCCTTCTTCTTCTTGTTGTTGTTGAGATGAAGTCTCACTCTGTTGCCCAGGCTGGAGTGCAGTGGCACAATCTCGGCTCACTGCAACCTCCGCCTCCTGGGTTCAAGCAATTCTCCTGTCTCAGCCTCCTGAGTAGCTGGGATTACAGGCGTGCACCATCATGTCTGTCTAATTTTTGTATTTTTTGTAGAGACAGGGTTTCACCATGTTGGCCAGGCTGGTCTCAAACTCCTGACCTCAAGTGGTCCACCTGCCTCAGCCTCCCAAAGTGCTAGGATTACAGGGGTCTCTTCTTAAAAGAGCACTAATCCCATCATGAAGGCCCCACCCTCATGACCTCATCTAATGTTAACTATCTCTCACAGGCTACATCTCCAAATACCATCACACTGGGTGGTTAAGGATTCAACATATGAATTCTGGGTGTCGGGACACAAACATTCAATCCATAACAGAAAAGTTTCTTTCTCAACTTGAGTTTAGCAGCAATAATGGTACTCACCTGTATCCAGTTATTTATTGCCATAATAATGCAGTGTAACTCTCCCCAAACTTGCAGTTTTAGGCAACAACCACGTTTTATTTCTCGTGATACTACACGTCAGCTGGGTAGGTTTGCTTTCCTGGGTCAGGCTTGGCTGATCGTGGGTGAGGTCACTGATGTCTGTGGTCAGCTTAAGTTTTGGCTGGTTGAGGGTGGCCTTGGCTCATGTGGCTTTTCTCCACATGGTCTTCCATCCCCAGCAGGCTAGCCCAGGCTCATTCTCATGGAAATGGCAAGATTCCCAGAGAGTGAGTGGAAATGGGCAAGAGCTCTTGAGATCTAGGCTCAGAAGTGGCACGTCACTTCCGCCTCATTCTATTGGCCAAAGAAAGTCACAATATCTGCCCAAAGTCAAGGGATGAAATGTAGACCCCACCCCCTAATGGGAGAAGCTGCAAAGTCACATGGCCAAGAGCAGGGATACAGAGAGGACTGGGAAGTGGGACCATTTTTACAGTGAATCTTCTACACCACCTCATATCCTTGCTGTGAGGCTTAAATAAGATTGTGTTCTTATAGTGCTTGATAGTGAAAACACATTAAGAGATAGCTGCTATTATGTTATTATTACACTTAAGAGTTTGCAGAGCTAGACACAGGGTCAGCCACTTTATGCAGCCAGGGGCCAAAATGAGAAGTCCCTCTGGCCTGAGCCTTTGCAGGGCACACTGCTCTCTCCTTTACACCCAGGGAGGAAAGCTGTGGATAAGTGAGGGGCCCTCACCCAGAAGGGGGTTGGCAGGACACTGCTTTTGATCTTCTTTTAGAGTTAGGGGAAGATCAGCCTAAATTTGTTGCCTAAATCCAGCAACAAGTCATCTTTGATGAGAGAAGAGGGTCAGCATATTCTCAAAGACCAACCGCATCAGCTGGAGGGGGCTTGACTCCCTTCCAGGAATTTCTCTTGTCTCTGATGCCCACTCTGGTTTCACCTTGCCTGCTGGGTGCTACCCACCCCAACCCCCAGCCCCAACTCGAGTAGACAGAAAAGCCTGCTCTCTGCCTCCCTGTGAGTCCTGTGGTATCGCACTCTGGGCCTTCAGAGTTGCTCTTTTGCCTGCCTGGGATGATAACACTTCTGGCTTACTATATGAGTTCTGAGAAGGCATTTTCAGGGGGTCATGAGAGTTAAGTGGCTTTTTGGAGCCTGGACTAGGCATAAGGACAGAACTTCATGGCATAGTATTTGTGTTTTTTTTCCATCTACAGACTCCTTTATTAAGGTTCCATTTTAGGCAGAAGGCCTATTTACAAAACATGGGAAAGTGGAATTACTCTGGCTGACTGTGTGTGTAAGAGAGCTTGTGTATGTGTGTAAACGTGTGTGTGCATGTGTGCACACGTGTGTGAGCATGTGCTTATGCACACATATGAGCATGTGTGTGCCCATGCATGTGTAAGTGTGTGTGTGTCTGTGTAGGGATGGGGGCCAGCATGTGGAGGACAGCCTCAAATCCTGCATCTTTCCCCTTTCCCTGTCTCTCTTGCCCTCAGCAGCCCCTGAGGAAAGCCTCTGAGGAAAGCTTTTGGATTTCACCATAGCACAGTTTTAAAAATATTGCAGTAAAGGCCAGGCATGGTGGCTCATGCCTGTAATCCCAGCACTTTGGGAGGCCGAGGCGGGCGGATCTCCTGAGTTCGAGACCAGCCTGGCCAACACGGCGAAACCCCATCTCTACTAAAAATACAAAAAAAATTAGCCAGGCATGGTGGCGCATGCCTATAGTCCCAGCTACTCAAGGAGGCTGAGGCAGGAGAATTGCTTGAACCAGGGAGGCGGAGGTTGCAGTGAGCCAAGATTGCGCCACTGCACTCTAGTCTGGGTGACAGAGGGAGACTCCATCTCAAAAAAAAACAAAAAAACAAAAAAAAATGGAGCAAAGAATCGAGACAAGTAGATGTCCACGAGAGTAGCTATCTCAGATATCAATCAACAAAGCTCAGCTTTTTCTTTTTTCTTTGTAAATAACTTTTGTTTTTTATTACACAAGGAATATATATTAATTGTAGAAAAATTAGAAAATATTAATGTGCAAAAAGAATAAAAGTCATCCATTACCCCATTCCCTGGGATAACTGCAGTGAATATGTTAGTGTATACCTTTGCAGCGGAGGGTAAACATCTTTTTGTATCACTAAATATGCTGCAGCATAAATTTGGTGCCTTGGCATTCCATCGTATGGGAGGCCATGACTTACTAAATTAATCACCTGTTTCTGAGCATTTGTGTGTGAGGTACAGCTTTGTACCTGTCTTTGAGCACATTCTTAGTGATTTTCTTTAAAAAGATTTCTAGATCTACAATTGCTGGGGACAAAGGGCATTCATTGCCTATTGAAATGTTTTGAATTATGAAATCTGCATATGTGTGCACATACATATTAGTTTTATGTAATGTATATGAATAGTTCAAACATGTTGTGGTGTATAATTGTATGCCTTATTCCTTCACAATCCCAATTATCTGCCTCTAGCACTTTGCTTTAGTTCCACAGAGTTTGACTCCCTTTCCCATTCTTCTTCTCTATGTTTGTTCTTTATCTCTGTAGTACCAGAGTTTCTTTTATTTTTGTGTTCTCTGTGATCTGTTCCATTAACATTTAGTTATCTCATTTTTTTTAAACATATGTATCTATCTGTCTATTCATTTAAAAAGCCGACAGCACCTGGTATTCCCAGGCAGTCTCCCATTCAAGTACTAACCAGGCCTAACTCTGCTTAACTTCCAAGATTAGAGGAGACAAGGCGTGTTCAGGGTGGTAGGGCCACAGACATCATCTGTCTTTGAAGAAATAACTTTAACATATTCATTTAATTTTTGAAAAGTTTCAAAAATTAACAGTGTAAAAAGGTATTGGGTAAAAATTCTCCCAAGCTTCACTCTATTTCACCCCTCCCCACTCCCTCAGATAAATATATTATTAATTTTTTAGAGGGGGATTTTCTAGATTTTTAAAATAATTATAAGCAGATAAGAGTATAAATTCACATTCCTTCACTTCTGTATGCAAATACAGGTATGCTATGTATACTT